>NC_000018.10:75742950-76044306 GCF_000001405.40 Homo sapiens | reverse complement strand
GCCTCCAGCTCTATCCACGTTCCTGCAAAGGACATGATCTCAGAGAACGCCTTTTCAATGTTAGCCTCATTCTTAATTCAACAACTCAGTATGTGCCTTTGAAAATCTGAAATTTGTTTAACTTTCCTTTAAAAGAAGACCATCAAGAATGTCACTTTTTAACAGTATCTTAAAAATCAACTTAAAATGATAGAAACAAAGTGAAATGAAATATTTAATATTTCTATTAAATGGTGTTCAGTCATATGTGCTTTAAAAACTAAGGTACATTAAAACAGCATTACCAAAAAATATACACATTACAATGTCTTGATTTCTAACTTCAGATCATAAATGTTCTAATTTCACATTATTATGTTAAAATTAAGACTATAAACATTGTTAATTATGACTTCATGTCAAGCCCACACACATTAATTCAGTGGTATCATTTCTGGTATATGGCGTACATTCGTATCTAGAAGAAGCTACATATTTATCTCTATTTCAGAATGTGAGATTAGACACTCGAGTACACTGATAAATAAGACAGACATCTCAGTCAATACTGGGCTATCTGTGTATCTAATAGTTCTTATTAGGGCCCTGTTTAACCTTATTTTATGGTACTGCTGAGGGAATGTCACACAAAGCTCACTGCTGTGGGGCAAGAAGAGAAACCAATAGGTGGGTAAGTTCCTGTGGGCCCCTGAGGCGTTGCTAACAAATAACTATGCTGATGATGCTAGTAACAATAATTATAGCCACTGCTATTTCTTAGAAATGGCAGGCATTATGTGACATGTGTTATATGCATTACCTTGTTTAAATATTATGACGACCAGATGAGGTAGGACATATTATTGTTCCGTCTTTATAGAGGTTAACTAATCGGAATGTAGGTTGGATGAAAGCAGGGATTTCTGTCTGTGTATGGACCACTGATCTTTGGGGTGGGCATTCCATAATCAAGTCGTTATTCAGTTTTGAAGAGTATGTACTCCAAGCCACACCCCCATAAGGATTTCCATCTCAGGTGGTCTGACCAGAAACCCTGGAGCTGAGGTGCTCCTCCTCTCATCCTATAGGTCCCCTTTCCATCCAGAGCCAGGAGAGTCTCTGCTGTCTTTCTCTAATGATGGTAGTTGCCTCTTGTCAACCTTGACCCCAGAGCATTAATGACTGGATTGTAATTTTCTTCCCTGGGGATTAGGAACCTACAGTCCTTCTCACTTCCATTTCTACTAAGTAAAAAAAAAAAGCAAGCCAAATATAATAACTACAGCTAATATTTATTAAATATCTATTACAAATCAGATACCACACTGTGACTCTATTATGTATGTAAGGAAATTTAATTTCTTCAACAACTCATTTGCCCTCTTACTCCTTCTTTGAAGTCATCATTATTCTCCATACAGAAGTTAGTAAATTGTGGGTGGGAGGTAAGGAAATTCCAGAGCCACTGATTGACCAGAGCTTGTATTCAACACTAAGCATACACTCTTTGTCCTACAATATGTTTTCTTCCAGTGCAGGGTTTTACATGCCCAAGTGGCTGATACTGGGTTTAGATAGCTATTTTTCCATGTTCTGATGATACGATTTTATCTGAACCTTATTCCCTAGTTTAAAGAATAATGGGGTGTGAGGAACAAAAATCCATCTGAGTGTTGACTGTCCTTGAAATCCCATTCTGCTTTCCAAAAATCAGATGCAGAAACCATATTTGTATAAGTAATTGCTCCCAATTCCTTTGAAACTAAAATTGAATAGAAAATACTAATCCAGAATAATAATAATGATGGCTAAAAATATAGTGCTTTCTCTCTGCTATGTACTGCTTTAATTGCTCTACAAATGGTTAAGTCAAACCAGCTCATGAGAAGTGTCCTAGTGTCAACATTTTTTTCTTTTGTAGATGAAGACACTAAGGTAGAGGGAGGTGAATTGATTTGTAGAAGGTGCCACTCTCGTCAGTGGCATTGGAGTGGGGGACTTGCACCTGCTACCTCTGGCTTAGGAGACCATGATTTAAGTAGTACGTGTTGTTGCCTTCGAATCACTGCAATAGAAGCTCCCGTGGCTTAAACAGAGATGAAGAACAAGTAGAGCTCAGAATTTTCAGGCAGCTTTACATCTAGATTAAAAGTTCGTTTCTTCCCTTCCTCCCTCCCTTCCGATAGCTGCTTCGGTCACTGTGCTAGGCTTCAGCAGGAACGAGATGACCATGACCCAGCAGCAGTCCTGAAGAAGCCGCAAGTTAGGGTCTAGTGAATACTCACACAACAGCAGAGGTGACCAGTGATAGCGATTTGCGCAGGTATTTTTAGAGCAAGGGATGGGGACTTCACTTGTGTTCTTTGTCACACTCCCTTCTATTCCAGAAAGAGGGCCTCCACTTGGGGGTTAACTACACTCACCATTCATGCATTTCTTTGGGGTCAGCTGGGAACCTATATTCCCTTCCCTGGCACTTCCACCTGTGCTTGGCTGGCTCAGTCTAGGACCTACCTTCTCCATGGCTTTTAAACAAGGACTCAGAGAGTTGAGTCATTTTCACTCTCTTGTGGCAGAAGATGAGAGTTTTCAGTAACTGATCAAGTTAGGAGTTGCCAGCAATCATGTTTTCTGTCTGGTCAATGCATTTGCAGAAAAGGAGAGTCACACGGATTGTCAGAGAGGAGCAGAGTTGCGAGATCATGTTGGTGGCATGAGTTCCTGATTGAAAGCCTATCTGATATTCAGCCAGATTCCAACCCTCGGAATCTACCTCCACCTTCCAGCCCTGAATCCTTGCAGTTAATTTTCATTTTTGCTTACTCTAGTGCATGTGGGATATGTTCCTTCCAACACAAACAGCCCTAATTCGGCTAATATAAATTTTTACCTAATAGAAAAAATTCCTAGTTCTTATTTTAGTTTATTTGGCTTCTAAGAATAAAATGTTCAATATATCCCATATTAATTCTGCTCTTACTGACTAGCAATTAGAAACCATATTCTAGCTCAGTCATGCCACCTTCTGAATGCCTTCCAGATGAAGTTCCACAGTAAGAAAATCTTGCAGGTCGATCTAAGAAGTTAAACGATTATCAGGGATATAATTTCACTGAAGAGACTCCACTTCTGTGCATAGAAAGGGGTTAGGAAGAGAATCTGGCAGCTCAAATTTAGGATTGTCAGCTATGGATAAATATAAATTGATATGTTTGTCACCCTTTTAGAGGGAATATGTACCATTCAAATCTTAAATTTAGTAGAAATGTTTAACATTTTCCATGCGCTCATTTAAATATTTATACAAATTCTGTTCCACATACACCACCAAATTATAATATTTATAGGTAAAAGATGGCTTAAATTACTTTTGAAGCAGTGCATTAATTTAAACTTGAATGTGCAGTTACAATTCAACATTTTCTAGAGCAAAAATTGAAAGTATAATAAAATGATACATTTTAATTATAACTCAAAAAAGCATCATGATGGCAATGCTTGATAACGATTCAAGTCTATTTTAGAGATATACAAGTACAAGCCATGCAAACATATTTAAACACATCTTTCCTACTATATATAAGATGTTAAGTAGTTTGCAGTATGTAAACACTATCAACCACAGTGTACTTGGTGTAATTAGGCTACAGAAACGAACATTTAACAGAATATCTTAATTTATGCTTGAGAAAGGCAAGATGAAAACAAAAATCAGATGAACACCAGATTTCTTTGCCATTTCTTTGAAGTAGATGTCAATATTTGTCAAAGTACAAATTGGACCACAATAATAAGGAGATACTGCCTTCAGGGCATGGGGAATTCCAGAGGTCGAGGGTAGGGTGAGGACAATAAAGGAAGGAAATCTTTGTCTTCTGATCTTCATGGGATAGACAGCATTGGGGCTTGGTGTAAGTTAAACTTCAGCCTATGTAAATTAATTGCAAAACTTTTTGTTATCCACCTCCCTTTCTCCTTCCCTGATTTCTTCTTCTTTTCAAGTCCTGTAGTTGTTGATTCAAATTCTAAAATCAGGAAAATCTTTCTGATTTGGTGAATATTGATGAGTGTTTCTTTTTCATAGTTTCTGTCAATTTCAGCACTGCCACTTTGTAATTTTTCTACCATTATGGATTCCACTTGAAGGGCAAATGGAAAGGCAGACAGTTCTTCTGTAACCATAATAATAAACGTTAGTGTGGAATATTAACAACTTAGCTGTTATGAGCCTTGGGTGGACTTTTGTTGGGCTAGTCAACTCACCTTCTCATCTCCATCAGGTTTTCCTGCAGGTAACCATGACAGCACATCTTAGTTTTCATAATTAGGGAAGCTGGACAGTATCATTTTCAAAGAACAAATCATAGAGGCTGAGGCAGAGCAGCCAGCCCCTTCCCCTGAACCAGAACACCAATTGGCCTGGTGATCAGTCTTCTGTTGATTGAGAAGTTAATTCACCATAGTTCCTAAAGGTTTGGGATGCTTATGGACCATACCATCTGCAAGGTATTCAACGGATGGCCCAATAATTCACTAACATCTGTGATTTAGTGGGTGTTTGAAATGCAACGTCTATGGGGTTTTAACTAAAGCCACACTAAGTCTGTTTTATTCATTAGGTGAACTCCAGAACCTGTTTGTTAAATTCATTTTTGTGTAATCATGACCAGACTTAAACTTGGGATTAATGTGAAATAAGCACTTTTTTTGACAGTAGGGATATTTTTCAGTCTATATTATCAAATTTTCCCCTAGTAGGGTAGCATTTTATGTGTCTCTTGAGTGTCCTACAAACTCCCACTCTTAATGGTGTGTTCATGGTGAAATTGATGTGTTATTGCATTGGTGCTCCATGTGCTATTATAATGTTTTAGGGCTGTAAACCATTTTTAAGCTGGTGTGTGTGAGAGAGAGAGAAAGAAAAAGAGAGAGAGAGACAGAGTGAGAGAAAACCCTTAAGTCCAACTAGGGTAATATAGCCCTACTAATTATATTGATCTAATTAATCTAATTAAATTGCAGCTAGATATAATTTTGTGTATGTCATTTGTCTACATTAACATTATGTAAACCTATTCTGCCTGTCCATGCATTTTATATGCAGTATTTTCTTTAGCACCTCAAGGACTTTGGGTATTAGAAGAAGGTGTAATTCAGTTCAGCAGCTTTGTGAAACAGGATACTGAAAGACTAGAAGAATTTGAAAGATGAGCAACAAAAGAAAGCACACTTCTGTTAAGCAAAAGATTTTGGATATTTGAAAGTATAAATATGTTCAGGGAAAAAAACTCAGTTTCCCACCTGTACTTCTCCCTCACATGCTTTTTTTTTTTTTTCTTATGGCATCTATTAGGATAGTCCTTTGTTTTATTGTTGATGAGTGGTATAGAACACATCAAACACACACACACACACAATTATCCTGGGTTACTATGTTTTAAATTATCTGTGGTAATATCTAGAATATTTGAATATTTTAAATAAAACTTTAAAAAATTAGGATGCTTCATTATAAAAAAATGACTGATGGAAATAATATCAAAGTCAATAAAATATTACAAACTTGACAATAATTGTTAACTGATAGGGGAATATCAATGTTTTAGACAATATTCTCAGACTAGATATTAATCTACTCAGGGGAACCCCATGAGACAGGTATTGATATTTTTCTCATTTCACAGATGAAGAAACTGAGGCACATAGTATTTAACTTGCGAAAGTCTAGGCTGCTACAAAGCTGTAGAACTGAAATCCGAACCCAGGCAGTCTGACTTCAAAGTCTAAATCTGAGCTGTTAAGGATAAAGCTATGTAGCCTCAAAACAAAACAAAGTCTGTTCTTTAAGCCCGGAATTCCATAGCATCAAGACACTCTGCAAGTTTTCTTTTTTCTTTTTCTTTCTTTCTTTTTTTTTTTTTTTTTGAGACGGAGTCTCTGTTGCCCGGGCTGGAGTGCAATGGCGCGATCTTGGCTCACTGCAACCTCTGCCTCCTGGGTTCAAGCAATTCTCCTGCCTCAGCCTCCCGAGTAGCTGAGATCACAGGCGTGTGCCACCATGCCCAGCTAATTTCTGTATTTTTAGTAGAGACTGGGTTTCACCATGTTGGCCAGGCTGGTCTCGAACTCCTGACCTTAGATGATCCGCCCGCCTCAGCCTCCCAAAGCTCTGGGATTACAGGCGTGAGTCAACATGACTGGCCACAAGTTTTCTTTAAATAAATTGCACCAGAAAATAAGCCTGTGTAGCACATGCCTCTAGGAAGTGTCCTAACCTGAAAATTTAAAGTGTTTTAAGGACGACTTATGGTGGCAGAGATGAGCAAGGAGAGCGTGGATAACGGATTTTTTTTTAATACTGTGACTTGGAAAACAAACATTATTTCAACTTATCTTATGAGTATAGAAATTACCTGGTAACTGTGAATGCATGGGAGTGTTGGGCGATGGTGAGTATCAGCCCTGGGAGCTGTAAGAAAAGTTGGGCAAATATGGAAGTCTGGACATTTCCGCTAGATAAATGACTATGGGAACAGATAATGCAGGGTACCCAAGGCAGCCTTGCAAATCAGTGCCCCAAGGAAAGAAATAGCCTCAAGGGGAGTTAATGGAAGTCAGGAACTCCATAATCCACCCAGGAAGGAAAAGGGATGGAACAGTTTAGGCTGTAAAACCGACAGAGAAAATATCTCATTTGAAGTCTCATTTTTCTTTGCTGATGGAAGACATGGGAATTGGAGAGGCTCAGCTCTCACAGGGCTGCAATAAACAGGGACACACCAATGGTATTTCAGCTATCTACTGCTGCGTAATAAACCACCCACAACCTAGTGGCTATCAACAACAACAATATTTGCCAACAAATATGATGGCCTTCTGCTCTGGGCTGTTCTCAGATGACCCAGGCTGGACTTGTTCCTGCCTATGCAGTGGGTTGGTGGATCTGGTGGAGGCAGGCAGAATTGTGGGGATGTCATTCATGTGGTGGTCAGCTGATTTTCATTGAGGGTGACGGGAGGACTGGGCCACCACCTCTCCTCATCCTGCAGGCTAGCCCAGGCGTGATCTCGTGACATGGGGCTCAGGGGCGCTAGAGAGATGCAACATTGCTCCTGAGTGAGGCTTGCAGATGGCGCATCATTTCTGCCACAGTCTCTGGATCCAAGCAAGTCACTCTGTGGAAGATTCCAGGCGTTTGAAAATAGACTTCACTTTCGACAGGAGTTGCTATCCAGTCTTGCCGCAGTTTTGGTTATATCCATTCACTATAAACAATGAGGCAGAAGCACCGGCAGTTGGACTTTCCTGAGGCAAGAGGTTTTTCCTTAGCAGAAGACATACTTCAGCTGAACAAAAAATCAGTCCATTGAACATTCTTTCTATTGAAAAAGATGATGGAACTCTGTGAGGTTTGCTTCTTCAGTATCCTTTATTCTGATATGAAGAATCCTGGTGTTGAGAATTCCTTCTGATTTTACCTTGGGGGTACTAGCTCTCCCCAGTCTCTTGTTTTTATTATTAGTAGAATGCATTGACTCCACCCTCTTGTTCCAAAAGTGGGCACATTTCCTATGCTTGATAATAAAACATGGCACTCCTATAGTCATAGACCCCACGGTGGACCAATCAGAATCAATGCTAGGATGCTGGTCGGTGCTACTGGATGAAGAGTACTTTCTGCTGAGTTTGCTAAGAATGGCAGACAACAAACTTCATGTCGGGAGGGAGGACCTGCCTGAGAAGGAAGAGTCAAGAAAGAAATCAGGTCCTCCCCAGGCTGTGTATCTGGACCTAAAGTTTTTTTTTTTTTTTTCAAATTATACTTTATGTTCTGGGATACATGTGCAGAACGTGCAGGTTTGTTACATAGGTATACATGTGTTACGGTGGTTTGCTGCACCCATCAACCCGTCATCTACATTAGGTATTTCTCCTAATGCTATCCCTCCTCTAGCCCCCGACCCGTTGACAGGCCCCAGTGTGTGATATTCCCCTCCCTGTGTCCATGTGTTCTCATTGTTGAGTTCTTAATGCGCCTCCTGACATTTTCTGTGACAGAAGCCACTAAGTTCCTTCTGTATGTTTGTTTCAATTCAATTTCAGTTTCTGTCACTTGCAGATAAGAGTCCTAATGTATGAGAAATAAAGGACAAGAAGATAAGATAAGGAGGTAGATTAGATGAAGGTATAAATATAAAAGGATACATATGAAACAAGAAAATAAAATTAAGGTAAACAATGATAATGAAGTTTAATACAGAAAAGATCAGAATTTAAGTATATTGTTAGTATATGAATAAATATTTCAGGATGAAGAATAAAAGAACAAACAAGATAAATTAAATAAAAAAGAGAGGCAACAATGAGTAAGGCAGAAGCAGCAATCAGGAACATAACTGTGGGAAAATGAGTTAAAGTAAAGTAAGGTCTGATGCCTTAAAGATGCTTTTTGTTCCTAGTGCAAATTATTAAGAAGTTGAGTTTTGAAAGCGAAGAAGAAAAAGGTGGAGTTAAAGAAAAAGAAGAAGAAAATCATGCAAAAGTCTAGATAGAAAAACAACAATCACAAAGACCAACCCTACTAAAACATTACCTACTAAGTGAAGGGAAGGCAGGGCTACCCTCCATGCATTAAATCCCGGGAGAGGAGGGCACCGCATCCCTGGGACTCAGAGCTGGTGAACAAAAAGTGGCCAGAGAAAGGAAACACTGCTATCCAGTAACTGGATGCCTGGCAAAGTTGTTCCATTGATAAGATTACAGGAGGAAGCAATTAAATAAACTTATCTCCCACCGTTTTCCTTGTAAAAAAGTAACTTTGAGAATTATATAGAAAATTATGGTGAATTTTAAAAGAAGCAGGAATGAAACAAGGGGTAGAAAGGTTTATGGCAAGCAATGGGATCACACAGACATGTAATTGTAGAACAATTGTTATAGTCATAAATACTTTTCAAAACAAAATAAATAATCATAACTCAAAAAGACATGATGCATATTGATATTCATAATTGTGAAATTTAAAAAATGGGTCAACAAATCCAAGATAATTTCAATTTGAAAAGGGAGGAAAGTGAGAAATGATTATCAGAGGAATATTCTTTGACTGCTAAATTCTCCATCGGAATAATCAGCAGTTATTTACTTCTTGAGGTTGATAAATATAATGCATTTGGCAATAAAGTGAATCAGTTTCAGAAATAAAAACAAGATTGGTAAACGTCAAATCTCCAAAGTGCTAAATAAAGAATTGAAAACATTGTTCAAACATCTATAAGATAGAAAATGAAGGACAATAAAGCTGGTTGGAAACAAATTTATTTATGACAAAAGTATCAATAATGACATTAATTATAGAAGTGTTTACTTTTGCATGAAAAGATATGGATGACCAGACCAGATCAAGATATAAAATCGAAAAGAATTTATTCAAGTCACTGAGTCTTGAACCAAAGAGATTCGCGGTGAGCTTGCTCTAGGTGTGAGCATTGCAGCAGGAAACAGAGCAAACAGCAGTCTCTGCATGCTTGGATCATACATTTTAGGGGGTTTAAGAAACAACAAACGTCATAAATATCTAAAACTTAAAAAAATCATAGAAAGTGATAAATGACATGAAGAAAAATAAGGCAGAAAACAAGGGGAGGGGGTGAGGAGAGGGGAGGCATAATCTGAATTAGGAGAGGCTGGGAAGTTGTCACTGCGAAGCTGTCATTTGAGCAAGACTTGAAGGTGAGGGAGTGATGAGATCAGTGGGAAAAGTGGTCCAGGTGGAGGGGTAGCCTGTTCAAAGGCCCTGGGGAAGGATGATGCTTGGCAGTCATGGGGCTAGTGTGGGCGGCAGAGTCGCAGGAGCTGAAGTCTCAGATGGGGTGGGGTCTAATTTACAATGAACCTTGTCTTTATTCTAAGTGAAATGGGAGAACCAGGGCCATGCAAGTGGGGCAGTGCCATGGCCTGGCATATTTTTAGTGCAGTGTTCTGGCTGCTAAGAAGCAAGGAGGCTTTGAGGAAGATTCGATTGCTTTACAGGTGAGCCATATTCTGGGTATAGTATTTTAGTAGAGTATGTATTAGTTTCTTGTGGCTGCCATAAAGAATTGCTATAGAGTGAGTGGCTTGAAATAATAGAAGTCTGTTCTCTCGCAGTTCTGGAGGCTGGAAGTCTGAAATCAAGTTGTTGGCAGGATTGACTCCATCTGGGGCTCTGAGAGAGAATCTGTTCTGGCTTCTCTCCTAATTTCTGCTGGTTATTGGCCTATTGGCTTCTGTGGCTTGTGGCTACATCATTCCAATCCCAGGGTCCATCCTCCCATGGCCGTCTTCCCTCTGTGTGCTCTATGCATCTCTGTGTCCAAATCTCCCTCTCCTTTCACTTAGAAGTCATTGGAACAGTGACATCCCTAATTGAGCAGAACTTCATCTTAATTGGATCACATCTGCAAGACCCTATTTCCAAAAAAGGTCTTCTTCTTAGGTACCAGGGATTAGGACATGGAGATTATCTTTTGGGGGGACAAATTCAACCCAATGCAAAGCATAGGAATTTTTTATGAATGAATGAAATGTGAGATGTTAGAGAAAGAGAGAAGCCAAAGGGGACTGTAGGTTGTGGTTCAGTCTGGCAGAACTACGGAGGTGTGCAACTGCCATGGACTGAGATGGTGGTGACCACAGGAACAGCCCATAGGAGGATCTAGAGGGGGTTTGTTTGCTTTTCCACTTCAATATGGCTGGCTATTGGATACCACAGTGGAGATATTGAGTAGGCAGTGGTCTACAATAAATGAATGGTCACAATATGAGAAAGCAGAAGTTTATAGACATAGAAGGAAAGTAGCAGTGGGGTAGAATAATATGCACTTTTTTTTCTTTATATAAGGAAGTAAACATTCAAAGTAATTGTTAAGTATGTACTGAATTCTGTTTTCCTAAGATAGAATCCACTTTTTTTCCCCAGTGCCCATGGAATATTTATCAACATTGGTCAAGTTACAAAATCTCAATAAAAATAAAATCCCAATAAATTTCAAAAAACAAAAAATAGAAAACATGTCAGTGATATAAACAAACACTTGCTCTATTAAATATCAACAATAGGCTGAGGCAGGTGGATCACGAGGTCAGGAATTCAAGACCAGCCTGGCCAACATGGTGAAACCCCGTCTCTACTAAAAACACAAAAATTAGCCGGGCATGGTGACAGGCACCTGTAATCCTAGCTACTTGGGAGGCTGAGGCAGGAGAATCTCTTGAATCTGGGAGGTGGAGGTTGCAGTGAGCCGAGATCGCGCCATTGTACTCCAGTCTGGGCAACAAGAGCAAAATTCCATTAAAAAAATATACATATCAACAATAATTAATAGAATATTTAAAGATCAGAAGAATCCTGCATACCCTTCTTCATGTGAAAAAATGTGTAACTTCATCTATTAAAAGAGAAATGCAAATTAAAACTACATGGAGATTCATTTCTCCTCATTAGATTGTATGTCTAAGATACACAACCCAAAGTTTAAGAACATACTGGTGGAAAAGCAAACATTCACATGTATATAGAATGTATAGAGATAATTTGTCAATACCTAACAAAATTACATATACCTTTACCCTTGAGCCCAACAAAACTGTCTCAGAGAATCTAAGTCAAAGATATACCTCCACAAATATGAACAAACTTAAATGCAAGGAAATGCAATTCTGTAAATAAAATATCAGGAGCAACCCAATATCCGGAAATGGTGGCTGGCTCAATAAAGTATGATTTTACCCCACTGTAGAGTATTGGCAGCTTCAAAAGCATGAGAAAGATCTCTTTAAACTCATTTCCTCATACAGATATGAAGTGAAAAAGGCAATATGCAAATTACTGAGTATATTATGCTATCTTTGTGTAACAAAAAAGCAAAAATAAGATGGGGATGGAAATGAAACTTTTAAATCTAATATTGATTTATGTATCATATAAATGTTTGAATATAATTAAAAAGGAAAACAAAACAGATTTAAATAGAAAAGAGGTTGAAACAAATAATCCTAAGGGCATATTCAATTGAACTATTTCAAGTGGCATTTGAACATAAAACTCTACTGCAAAATGCCACTGGGAAATGTTTTTAAAAATAAGGCAATAACAGCCAAGTAGTCTAAATTTTTACTCAGTAACTTTATGTTTAGTCATAATGTTGGTATGGTGAATTTTTAATAACTTACACATATTAAATAATAAAGAAAACATTAATATTATGAGCAATGTATGTGCTTGTGTTATCTGCCTGTCCATCCCCTACCAATTAGACCTGTGAGCACTGATAGCCCAACAGCAATGAGCATCTCTCGTACCCAGATTATGGTTACTAACACCACTCCCTATTGAAAGGAACCAACGTTTCTTGAATAGTTAATTCAAGGTCCAAGGCAGGTAAAGCACAAGGTGAGCCTGGGAATCTTGTCGTGCCAGAAAGTCAGGAAGTGCTTGTGGACTAATGGAGGAGTCACAGTCATGTAATGGGCCAGCCCAAAGAGACTCTTATTAACCACATTTGGGAATATTTGAGCAACAAGAAGAACAATTATGTTTAATTTAAAAACATAGGCTATATAAAAATCCATGTGTCTAAAGATACTCAGAATATATGTATATATTCTCTTTCTCTCTATGTATATATCTATATATACACATATTTTCTATGTATATATTTACATATACACATATTCTTTCTCTCTCTGTGTATATATCTATCTGTACATACACATAGAGAGGGAGGAAGGGGCGAGAGAGGGAGGGAGAGAAAGGAAGATAGTTTAATCAATTGCCACCACTGACAGCGACGCTTACATCATTTTATAACTCCAGTTGAAATAATTTATTCAGGCAAGAATCATAATTAGATGCTAGTGCCATAGATTACCCCTCCCACCATGACAGATTATTTTCTAACTGAAAAATGTACCGTGAGAAATCATTAAACTTTGCAACACTGAAAGGTGAACACCTGATGTCATGTTCCTCCTTGTGTATTGAAATATGAGATGTCTCAACACCTATGATGTATTCTCTCCAAAAATGTTGAACCTAAATCTGAACAGGTCTTTACACCTAATTTTTGAGTGTATAAAGAATATATGGGAGAAAAACACGTTAGACCACATCTTTAGATAAATACAGAATAAAAAACATTCTTAAATAAACCAGAATATGAAACATTGTGTGAGACTTAACACTAAAAAATACGTCATGAAGGAAAATAAAGACAGAGCTCGGGACCTGTTCTAGATTAAAAAGACTAAAGGGACATATCTAATTATATCCAATACAAAACCTTGGTTGGAACGTAAAGTGTTTGAAAAGCTTATAGGACATCATTAGTACAACAGAGGGAATATGAACATAAACCCTGTATTTTATGGTATTAGGAATTATTGTTCATTTTATTAGGTATGAATTGCTCCTGTATTGGAATAGAGCCCCTTTTCAGGAGTTTCATGCTTAAGTGTTTGTTGATGAAGCCACGTTATGTTTGGAAACTGCAAAATATTCACTTGTTCAGTTAAGTTGGTGTGTATATATGTGTTTATTTTACCATTGTTTCAATTAGTGTTTAAAACCTTTTTTACTATAAATATTTTTAAAAAGTAACATGACATACATGTTTGTTAGTGAACAAGATATCTCATGGAAAATGAACAGTTTGCTTGGAAAATATAAATTCTAAAATTAGTTCAGGAAAAGTGCAAAGGCGTGAAAGGTAAATAACTGTGTAAGACCTTGACAATATCTGTGAAGGACTTACCCCTCAAATTGCTTTTGTTTTACTACAAAGAAAGGAAAAATATAATGAATTATAAATGATCATAGAGCAATTCCAAGTGAAGAAAATATTTTTAATTTATTTTATAAAGATTTTATACTCTGATATCAAGCCTGTCAATTATAGCAGGAATTAAAAATAAAGACAAAAAGAAAAAAGTCTAAAAATGTAAGTTTAGAAATCCTAAATGGAACATTAGAAAATTAATTACAGGCATAGTTAACATTAAAAACTAAATAATCTAATTTATCACCTTCCTATGGAAGCCACATTTGGGTTCAGACATAACTTCTTCACATTCCGGCTTTATAACCTACCAGATACTGAGCCTACTTAAATATGTTCGTCATTTGGAAAAGAAACATTAAAAAAGTGTATTATTGCCCTCGAATTAAATGAAACAAATACTTTAAAGTATACAGCAGTTAGCACTTTGTCTGACAGTGATAAACAAATGTTGTTTACAATTACTAGTATCTTAAGGGAGAAAAAACATATAATACTTTTGCAAATGTCCAAAAGATATCAATAAATTATAATAACCTTACAAATTAAAATTAGAACCCTCTGTGTAACCTAAGAGTGAGAAGATGCTAGGAAAAGAATATCTATTTCCAACTAAAAAAATCATTGTACTCAATGTGCAATACATTTGATTAAAAAGCCAAGAATTAAAAGAATGTGCAAGAAAATGAATAAAATATTTTTCACTTTTATTACTAGTTAATATTTTTCAGGAAATTCCAGCCATTGTAATAAGATAAGAAAATTAAAGAATAGGCCATCAGAAAAAGAAGGGAGATAGTCATTATTTTTCCATGACTGTTTACCTAGAGTATCCCAGGGAATGAAGTTCATACCTTATAATTAACCAATTTTTTCCCTGAATCCCTGCTTTCATAAAGCATTTTCCAGTATGTTTCCCTTGGATTGTTATTTCTCTGAAATAAATCACACATTAAAAAAGTAGCTCAATAGTCAAATTAATGTGAGACTAAATTCAATGGCCTATTCTTGAAGTTTTTCAATGCAAATTAGTTTATTAAACATTCTTTGAAGTTCTATATCAAGATGATTAGAAAGCTCCAAATAATGTACTTCGATTATTTACTTAATCAACAAATATTTAGTATCTTCAATGTGCTATTTGCTACAGTGACTGCCCTTGTAAAGCTTATGGTTTAGCTAGAGAGAGACAGAACGTTATCCCATAATGATATAAACAAAGGTGAAATAGCAACTGTGATGAGGTCAAGAGGCATGCAGGGACAGTGACAGCTTCTTCAGAATAGACAAAAACTGCAGGCATTTCACATTCAAAGAAAGTCTGTGCCAAGGACCTTTGGTAAGCAGGAGCATGGTGAGAGTTGGCCACACCAGGGAGTGTGCAGAGAGTGAGAACACGATGAAGGCAAAGGCGGAGAGGGCTTTCAGGTGACTTCAGGGAAATGCCCTCTTAATCCTAAGAGCAATGGGAAACCATTAGAACAATTTAAACCTGAGGCTGGAAGAATAAGTTTACATGTTTAAAGGGTTACTCTTTTCAACTGAATATGAATTGGTAATAAGAATAAAGGAGATACAAAAAAGTATGCTGAAGGACACTTAGACAAGAGAAAAATTAGACGAGACTGTGATGTGGAACTGTAGGAATCATATTAACGAAATATCAAAGACATTTTAGATATGATCAGAGAAAAGAGATTTGGGTACAAATACGTCTGTAGCTTGAAACCAGTGACATAACAAAAGCAAAACGTCTCCATGTCTATTTGCCCCCATCTTCTCTGCCAAGGAGAATCATCCTCAAACTGAAAAGGGTAAAAATGAATGTTGCTTCAAGGTAGCCAAAACCAGGCTTCAAGGCAGCCTGGTGCAAGAATGGATAAAGAGCACCTGACAACTCTAAATAATTTGACTCCTGGTTTATATACGCCTGTGTATCAAGAGGACTTAAGTAAGAGATCAACTACGTGTGGACCCACCCTGGAGGGAGATCTGGGGAGTGGAAGGGGCTGCAAAGGAGAGAATAGGCAAATATCTGACTTTCAGAAAGAGTAATAGGGAAGGCAGGATTTATGAAACAAAGCTTGGTGGACTTGGTTTCAATCCAGAAAATAATTCTGTAATGAATTTTAAAGCATCTGTAAATACACAGGAGGCTTCATTGCAGGAAGCCATAGGAAGTTTGTGAAGAACTAACGATGTCTGATTAAATTCAGTCCCTTTATTGAAGGGATTATTAAGCTGAAAGAACAACTGCATTCAGAGGAGGGCATGCCGTCCACACCAGGAGACCATTTAGGAAGACTGTGGGTGTTCTGGACGTCGGCATGGGGAGACTGCAACTGCTTCCCAGGAAAATGAGCTACATCAGGTGATGATTGAATGAACGGTTTGTGGCAGAGATGAAAGAGCATCCCACAGTCTCCCTCCTGCTCCTCTTTGTTTTTTAAAAACTGATTTTTTAAAATTATTTTTAAAATTTATGTGGGTATATGGTAGGTGTATATATTTACAGGTACATGAGATGTTTTGATACAGGCATGCAATGTGAAATAAGCACATCATGGAGAATGGGGTATTCATCTCCTCAAGCATTTATCCTTTGAGTTATAAACAATCCAACTATGTTTCTTAAGCTACTTTAAAATATGCAGTGAAGTTATTATTGATTATAGTCACCCTGTTGTTCTATTAAATAATAGGTTTTAGTCATTATTCATTCTTTTTTTTTCTTTTGAAACAGAGTTTTGCTCTGTTGCCCAGGTTGGAGTGCAGTGGTGCAATCTCGGCTCACTGCAAACTTCGCCTGCTGCATTCAAGCTATACTTGTGCTTCAGCCTCCCGAGTAGCTGGGATTACAGGCATGCACCACCATGCTTGGCTAAATTTTGTAGTTTTAGTAGAGACGGGGTTTCACCATGTTGGCCAAGCTGGTCTCGAACTCCTGACCTCAAGTGATCCACCCGCCTTGGCCTCCCAAAGTGTTGGGATTACAGGTGTGAGCCACCATGCCTGGCAGGTTTTATTCATTCTTTCTATTTTTTTTGTACCCATTTACCTTCCTCACCTATCCACCCAACCCCACCTCCCAATACCCTTCCCAGTCTCTGGTAACCATCCTTCCACTCTCTGTGTCCATGAGTTCAATTGATTTGATTTTTAGATCTCACAAATAAGTGAGAACATGTGATATTTGTCTCTCTGTGCCTGGTTTATTTCACCTAAGATAACAGCCTTCAGTTCCATCCATGTTGCAAGTGACAGGATCTCATTCTTTTTCATGGTTGAATAGTACTCCATTGTGTATATATACCATATTTTCTTTATCCATTCATCTGTTGATGGACACTTAGGTTGCTTCTAAATCTTAGCTATTGTGAACAGAGCTGCAACAAACATGGGAGTGCAGATATCTCTTTGATAGACTAATCTCTTTTTTGAGGTGTATGTACCCAGCAGTGGGGTTGCTGGATCATAGGATAGCTCAATTTTTAGTTTTTTGAGGAACCTCCAAACTGTTCTCCATAGCGGTTGTATCAGTGAACATTCCCACAGGGTATGAGGGTTCCCTTTTCTCCACATCTTTGCCAGCACTTATTATTGCCTGTCTTTCAGATAGAAGACACTTCTTTAACAATAGGCCCCCTGCTGCTTTGCCTTCTCCCAGCTGGAGAAGGAATGTTCCCATCTCCCTCCAGTGTAGTGAGACCATGTGATGGAGTTGCAGCCAGCAGAAGGTGAAAGGAAGCCATGTGAGCAAACTCACGATCACTTCCTTAGAAAGGAAAGTGTTTGCTTTTAACCTCCTCTTTCCACGCATGTGACCAGGTGAGTCAGCTTTCACCTAGCACAAGGTGTGACACAGAATGACCGGAGGGGCCCTGCGTGATGGCAGGAGATCACCTGCCTCCTTTGCTGAGCTGTTCACAGGGTCACCCCTCATCTGAGGTTTTGCTCTCCGTGGCTTCAGTTTTCTGAGGTCAACCATGATCAGAAAGTATTAAATAAAAATTCCAGAAATAAACAATTAATCAATTTTAAACTGTGCACTGTTCTGAGTAGCATGATGAAGTCTCGCACTGTCCCGCTCTGTCCCACCTAGGACATGTCTCCTCCCTGTGTCCAGCATGTCCTTGCTGTATGGGCTCCTTGCCTGTTAGTCACTTAGCTGCTGTCTCAGTCATCAGATCCACTGTTGTGATATCACAGTGCTTGTGCTCATGTAACCCTTATTTGACTTCATAATGGCCCCAAAGCACAAGAGTAGTGACGCCGGCAATTTGGATATGCCAAAGAGAAGCCAAATATATGCCAAAGAGAAGTTATTAATTTCTTACTGTGCCTAATTTATACATTAGGTCTTATCATAGATATGTGTGTGCAGGAAAAAAACCCATGATATACATAGGATTCTGTACTAGCCATGGTTTCAGGCACCCACTGGAAGTCCTGGAACACTTCCACATATGGGGGACTGCTGTATTTAAAGAGAGAAAAGCTCCTTTATTTGTTTGAGCCGCTAGATCTCATTGTTAAGACCACTTTACTTACACACGTGCTAAATTGAGTGGCTTAGAAACTTTCAGAAATCAGGCTTATTATGCATAAGTAAATGAGCACACAAAAATTGAATAGATATATATGTAAAACATATTTATATTAACTTTTTGAGAGTTTACTGGTGTAAGACCATAGGTTTTGTCTTGTTCATATATTTCTAATGAATTGATATAGAACTTACATCATTAAAGGAATGCATGATATATAATGAAATTAAGATATAAAAAAGTTTAAAAATTTGGGACAATAAGATTAATTTGATCTATTCACTTTAACAGAAACATAAAGTCTTGTTTATTGATACAAATAAAGTACATTGCAAGCAAAGAAGGAAGAAATAGTACACGACAGCCGTCATTTCAACAACGACAGTAACAACAACAAAAACAACAACACAAATCCGAAAAACAATCTGAAATGCAACCTGGCTAACAGGATTAAAGAAAAGAGCATTTAGTCTTTATTACTGGAAGAATCCTATCTAGAACGATGAAGCCATGTTTTTCAATTTGCAGTGGGCTTTACACTTCAGAATGGGTATAAACACCAAAAGCAAACAGACACATCTTGGTATATAGTCAAAATTCTATGAAAATGGAATGAAATGTTCCAGAGACAGTTCCCAACTAAGGAATCATCTGGAAGCTCCCTGGTGCTAAGGGATGGGGCTGATGACTACATCAGGGATTGGGACAGGCAAGTTTAAAGTTTAAACCTACGTGGCAGCCTTGGGAGTTTCATCATTAAGAACAGAACGGAAGGAACTGTAGGGAAAAAAACCGTTTGGAGTTATTACCATAATCAATGCAGCGGCAATGACAGCTTAAAGTAGTGTCGGTCCAGTAGGGTCACAGGCTGCATAGCGTTGTTCCTGTTATCTTATGCTGTCTAAGAAACTACCCCAAAACCTAATGGTTTGAAAACAACAACCATTTTTAATATCTCATAATGGGGTGCTCGGCCCCATTTTGTTGGCAGCTAGCATAGTCCAGAGTGCCCCAGGCAGCTTCACACTCATGCCTGGCACTGTGGTGAAGAGGGCAGAGGGCGGGCTCCCCTGGGTCCCTCTCACACATCCTCTGGCCTCTCCCTCAGGCCTCTCCAACAGTGTAGCCAGATTCCTTATGTAGCTCCCAGGACTCCCGAGCACCAAGGCAGGAGCTGCTGCTGGCTCCCAGGACAGCCTGGACCTGGCCAAGCCTCATTCCATCTCTCCTGCTGGTAGAGACACAGGGAGCTAGTGCAGATTCAGAAGGAGGGGAACTGGATGTCACTTCCAGATGAGAGGGGCAGCGGAGGACTGGTGGCCATCTTTACCACAGAAGCAGGAGAATGAACGCTAAGAAAACGTTATTAGAGTCATGGAAGTAAGAAGTTCAGGGACTGATGAGACACTAGTTTCAGGAGAGTGTGAATTGAAAGTCACATATCAAGGTGTTCTTGTAGAAATAGAGCTGGTGGAAGTATACTCCTCTTTTGAGGAGCAAGATTAGGCCATAGTTTATATTCTTAAAGAATTATTGGAAATCTCAGAGGTCAACGTTTGTTCAAGTAGGAGGGGGCTTGTGGATTAGAATATTCTTATATTGAAGCCGTCAAGTTAAATTCTTGCTTGCACAATTTATTATCAGTCCAAAGGTTAGTACAGCTTCCATGGCAGACAGATTACTGAGAATCCACTGCTTTGAATCAGAAAATAAGTAAATTATGCTTCTTATTTTTAATATAAATTTGAAACACATGTATTCAGACATACCGACAATGCAGAGGATACAATTGGTTTGATCCTGCAAGTCTTAGTGAAACATGATTACTACTTTACACAGTTCATGGTAGAACTGCTCAGATAGTAGATGGAAAAATATTGCTTCTATATGTTTTCAGTTGAAACTAGGTATTTGTTATTTAACTGTTAGTATTTTGAGGTATATTAATCTCGTTAGTATAATCGCAATATTTAAGAATCCTTTCACTTTTCTGTAGAAGCCTAGTTAGAGAAATTATTTCTCTCTACTATTGATTGCTTCTATGCATACACCAACATCCAATAAAAAGATACTTCAAGTGCAACAAATATCTCATCCTTATAAATTTTTGAAAAGTCTTTGATTTTCTTGGTGTAACATTGTGAATTATTTAGTCTTGTCTTGAATCCAGCATTAGAAACAGGAAACTCCAGAATATTCCTAGGGGCACTGAGATGGCCAAGTGAACAACAGCTTTCATTTTTCCCTAAAAGTTGACCCACAACACGGGAAAGTCTTGCATCTGGGGAAAAATCTGATTGGCATGGAGATGTGTATGACCTTTCTCCTTCTATATAATCAAACATGGCAGCTCTCCAAAGCAGCTGAAAGTAAACCTAACAGCACTTTGACTTTTTAAATTACTATTTTTAATTCAACCAAAGTTAACCTTGGTGATTATTTCCACTCCTCAAGTAAAAGATGATAGTAAGAAAAATGCTGTGAGGTGGATGTTGCTATTCCCACCATACAGATGGGTAAATACTCAATTGAAAGTTAAGTAGTTGTTCAAAGTTTTTATTTTGGAAGTGCTAGAGCTAGCATTCTAACTTGATAGCATTTGAACTTGACATATTTGACTTCCTAAACTAAACTCTTTCTTCCACACAGAGAGTATCTTTTTATTAGGTCAAGAGGAAGGGCTCTAGTTTCATTGCTATAGATTTTTTCCACATTGTATCATAATTGTGTCCTTACAGTGATGACCCTTTCCTTCTCTCAGACATCCAAACCCAAAAGACGTAAAAGAAAAGTGGCTTATTGGTTATGTACATATTGTCCAGTCTTGAGAGATTCAGATAAACAAGAATGAGTGATGCAAATAGAAGTTGAATCTTTGTTGTTTTCTCCTTTCTTAATACTGAAAATGGGAACTCAATAATACAAAACCTGAAACTGCTTTCTTTTTTTCTGGGAAGCTCTGACTTCACTGGCTACTTGGGTTGCAGAATAAATCATGCTATGGAAAATGGAGTCTGTATAGTCCATCTGAGAAATAGGGCAAGAAGTGGAGCTGGAGCTCACAGTGGAGAAAGGCGTCTGTCTGTTCATGGCATTTTAATGTTGTAACATTACTAAATGCATGGGTCTGATTTCATGGTTGGACTACAGGTAGTCCTGGAAATAATGCCATAGTGAGCAGTCAATGAACATTTATTGAACTGACCTGAAAGAAAAACATTATAAATAAATGTGACTTGGGTGGTCTTATTGGTTACTGCTCAATTCATTAGATATCATAGCCAATTCTTTCCCAATTACTAGTTACTTTAATAAGTACATGATGAAATAAAACTTTAAAGTAGCACTTTCAAGTCAGCAAAATCGTGCCACCCGTTAGCTATATAAAGGAACTTGTGGTAGACTAATGATCCCACCGAAATTAACTAGAAAATGCAGAAAAATACAAATAAAACAAGCTAATTGGTAACTCTACATCCTGGTCAGTATTTGTGTTATCAGTTGTTTGGATTTTATCCATTCTAATATTTGTTTACTGATATCTTGTTTGTTTATTTGCAATTACCTAATAACATAATTCTGAGCATCATTTACATGCTTATTTGTCATTTGTACGTCTTCTTAGGTGAGATGTCTGCACAGATCTTTTGTCCATGTTTTTATTGAATTTTTTTTTGTTAAGTGTTCTTTGTATATTTTGAATGCAAATCCTTCAACAGATAGGTGTTTTGCAAATGTTCTCTCCCAATCTGTGGCTTGTCTTTACATTTTCTTAACAGTGCGTTTTGCAGTGCAGAAGTTTTCAGTTTTAGTAAGTACAAACTAACATTGTTCGTGAATTATGCTTTAGTGTTGTATCTAAATATTCATCATCAAACCCAAAGACAGCTGCATTTTCTCCTGTTATCTTCTAGAAGTTTTATAGTTTTATGTTTTACATTTAAATCTATCATCAATTTTGAGTTAATGTTTGTGAAAGGTATAAGTTCTGTGTCTAGATTTTTTGTTTCATATGGATGTGCAGTTGGTCCAACACCATTTGCTGAAGAGACTATCCTTTCTTCATTGTTTTTTTTCCCCCTTGGCCAAAGACTTGTTGACTATATTTATATTGGTCTACTTCTGGGACTCTGTATTCTGTTTCACTGATATACTTGTGTATTCTTTCACCAATGCCACACTGTTTTGATTACTATAGCTTTATAGTAATTTTTGAAGTTGGGTAGTGTTAGTTTGCTAACTTTTTTCTTCTTCAGGGTTGTGTTGACTCTTCTTTCTTTCCCTTGTCCATATAGGCTTTAGAATCAGTTTGTTGATATTCACAAAATAACCTGATGAGATTTTGGTTGAGATTTCACTGCATCTACATATCACATTAGGAAGAATTGACATCTTAATAGTACTGAGTCTTTCTATACATGAACATGGAATAGCTCCTGTTTATTTAGATCTTCCTTGATTTTTTTCATCAGGTTTTGTAGTTATCCTTATGTAGATTCCATACATATTATCCTATATTTATACCTAAATATTTCATTTTTTGGTGCTCACATAAATGGTATTGCATTTTAAATGTTAAATTTCTGTTGTTCATTGCTGGTATATAGGAACACAACTGACTTTTGTGTATTAGCCTGTATTCTGCAATGTTTCTATAATTGTTTATTGGTTCTGGGGCTGTTTTTTTTTTAAAAAGAATTTTCTACATAAAAAAATGATGTCATCTGTTAGCAAAGACAGTTTTATTTCATGCTTGCTAATCTGTATGCCTTTTATTTCCTTTTATCTTATTGCATTAACTTCTACTATCATTTTGATGTTAAACAAAAGTGGTGAAATGAGATATCTGCCTTGTTTCCACTCTTAGGGGAAAGCATCAATTTTCTCTTAATTAAATATGGTGTTATCTCTAGGTTTTTGTAGATATCCTTTGTTAAGTTAAAGAAGTTCCACTGTATTCCTAATTTGCTGAGAGTTTTTATCATAAAAAAGGTGTTGAACTTTTTTTCAAGTATTTTTTATGCATGCGTTGATATGATTATGTAATTTTTCTTTCTGAACCTGTTGATGTCATGGGCTACATTCACTGATTCCTCAACTGTTGAACTAGATTTGCACACCTGGAATAAATCCCTCTTAGTCATGGTGTGTAATTCTTTTTACACATCGTTAGATTTGATTTGTTAATATTTTGTTCAGGATTTTTGTATTTGTGTGAATTAGCAATGTTGGTCTGTAGTTTTTCTTTCTTATAATGTCTTTATTTGATTTTTGCATTAAGCCAATGGTGCCTTCATAGAATGCATTAGGAAGTGCTCTGTTTCTATGTTCTGGAAAAAATTACAAAAATTTGAATCATCTTTTTAAAAACCGTTCAGTTGAATTCACCAAAAAAAAAAAAAAAAAAATCATCTGGACCTGCTGCTTTCCTTTTCAGAAGATTAGTGATTTAATTTCTTTAATAGTTATAGGCCTATTTAGATGATCTATTTTTCCTTGTGTGAGTTTTGATAGCTTGTGTCTTTCAAGGAATTGATTCATTTCATCTCAGTTACTGTATTCGTAGGTATACAGTTGTTAATAAGATTCTTTTACTTTCTTTATATTCATGGAATCAGTAGTGATGAAAACTCTCATTTCTGATATTAGTAATTTACATATTCTCTCCTTTTCTTGGTTACTTTTACTTGGAGCTTAAAAATTTTATTAATTCTCTGGAAATCATCTTGAATAATTACTAATTTTCTCTTGATTTTTATTTCAATGATTTCCATTCAGAAGCTTTATTATGTATACTCTTCAACTTCAGGTTTTGTTTGGTCTTTTGTTTTCTAGATTTTTCTTCTTTTTAAAAATTTATTTATTATTGATACATAATAATTGTCCATATTTATGGAATGCATGTGATATTTTGATACATACACCATACAATATGTAATGATCAAATCAGGGTATTTAGAATATCTCTCACCTCAAACGTTGATTATTTCTTTGGGTTGGGAACATTTCAAATCTTCTCTCCTGGTTATTTTGAAATATATAATAAATTATTATTAACTCCAGTCCTTCTATTGTACTATCAAACACTAGAACTTATTCCTTCACTCTAACTGTAGGTTTGTACCCATTAATCAACCTCTCTTCATCCCTCCCTTCCCAGCCTTTGATAACTCTCATTCTGCTCTACCTTCATGGTGAGAACTTAGATGATTAAATTCATCTTTTCTAATACAGGCATTTAGAGCTATGCATTTCCCTCTAAGAAATACTTTAGCTTCATCTCACAAATTTTGATCTACTTTTTTTCCTTATTGCTTAGTTTGAAGGATTTTTAAATTTACTGTAGAGTTTTTTCTTTGTTCCAATGGTTAATTAGAAGTATATTTATTATTTTTTCATAATTTTTGAATTTTCTAGATTTCTCATTGTTATTAAACTATGGCTTGATTTTGTTTAAGTCAGAAATTATATTTTGCAGCGTTAAATATTTTGAATGTTACTAAGCTTATTTTTTGGCTCAGCATACATCTGTGCACCTGCACTTGAAAAGGATGCTTATTCTGAGTTGTTTGCAGGGGATTTGCATATGTCCGTTAGGTCAAGTTGATTGATAGTCATGTTTAGATTTGTAAATATCCTTTTAAGTTATTTTATATTGATCCTTCAGCTGCACAGAGAGAGAAATAATTAAATCTCTGCCCATGATTGTGGATATTTCAATTTTTTATTTAGTTCCATCAGTTCTTGCTTCATTAATTTTGATTTTGCTAATATATATATTGTTATACATTTGCAAACTATGTCTGACAAAGGACTAGAATATATGCAGAACAGTAAAAAACCCCATCCATCATAAAAACAAAAGTAATCCAATTGGAAATGGGCAAAAGCCATGAAGTGGCATTTCATGTTTTAGGATATACGGATGCAAATAGACACATGAGAAGATGCTCAGTATCATCAGTTATCAGGAAGATGCAAGTTAAAACCACAATGAGATTTTATGGTAAACTCAACAAAATGGCTAAAATAAAAAATGGTGACACCAGGTGATGGTGAGGATGCAGAGAAACAGAGTCACTGACTTCTGGTGGGAATGTAAAATGTTACAGCCACTCTGAAATATAGTTTGGCAGTTGCTTGTAAAACTGAACATGCAATTACCATATGATCTAGCTATTGTACTCTCTGGCATCTATCCCACAGAAATGAAAGCTTATGTTAACATAAAAATACGTATGGGAATGTCTATAGTATCTTTATTTGTGGTGGTAAAAAACTGGAATTTGCCCTGATGGTCTTCAACAGGTGAATGCCTGAATAAACTGTTGTACATAAAATACTACTCTGCAATAAAGGGACTCGATTGTTAATATGGCTAGTCCTTTGTCAGATATAGTTTGCAAATATGTGATTATATATGTGTGTGTGTGTGTGTGTGTGTGTGTGTGTGTATAACTTGGATGAACCTCTAGGGATTTATGTTGAGTGAAAAAAGTCAATCCATAACAGTAACATATCCTATGATCCCATTTATAAAACATTTTTGTAATGTCAGCATTTTATAAGTGGAGGATATGTTGGGGAAGTAGGAGCTGGAAGAGGTTAGGTGGATGGAGTTACGAAAGAGCAAGATGGAGGCCCGTGTGGTCCTTGTGATTTGGACCTGATCAGTCTTGACAGAGATGGTGCATGGATGTCCTACACAGAACTTCATTCACACTCACAAATGGGTACAAGTGAAACTGTTACATTGTCAGTATCCTAGTTATGATATTATGCCATGACTTTGCAAAATGTTACCATTGGGAAGACTGGGTAAAATAGACAAATAATTTATTCGTAATATTTCTTAGAACTGCATGTGAATCTACAAGTATCTCAACAATTGTCAAGATATTATTAAATGTTAAAACAATTATTTTAAATATGTTTAAAATATATTGTCTCCACTATTATTTTATTAAATTATCTATTTTTTAAAAAATAAAAAGAGAGATAAGATTTACAAATCAGCTAAAATTAACAAAGAAGAGAAAATAATAAAAGTGCCTAACTCATTTTCCTAAGATGAATAAAAATATTGTTTTATGATTTTAGACAAACATGAGATGTTTGTCTATGATTGACTCCTATAATTAGTCAAATATTGGTTTAAATGTGTTCTTTAAAAACTTGAATATAAGCACTCGTAAATTAGTCTACCAGTAACAGATGTCTACTTCCCAAATCAATGCAGAATGTAATAGCCACCAGGTCTCTACAGAAAAATAAAGCCAAAACCAAACAAGAACCTAAGTATTAGATTGAAAACTAGAAGGAATTATAAAATGCAAATTCATAAAACGTGAGGATCAGAGTCAGATCAAATCTGAGAGTTTCTTTACGGGTTTAATGGTGCCCCTACACATGTTGAAATCCTAACCACCAGTACTTTAGAACGTGACCATATTTGGAAATAGGATCACTTCAGATGGTGTTAGTTAAATTAAAATGAGGTCAAACTGTAGTTGGATGGCTCCCTAATCCAACATGACTGATGCACTTCTATAAAGGGGCAGTTGAGAGACAGAGCATGCTACAGGGAGAACACACGTGAAAGTATAGGCAAGGACTGGGATGATCTTCCCACAAACCAAGAGACACCCAAGAGTGCTGGCAACTACCAGAAGCTGGGTGAGAGTCGTGGGGCGGATTCTCCCTTACAGCCTTTGGAAGGAACCCTCCCAGTTGACAGCCTAAGCTCAGCCTTCTGGCCTCCAGATCTCCGAGTCAATCAGTTTCTGTTGTTTAAGCCTCTCAGTATGTGGTGCTCTGCTAGGGCAGCCCCGGAAATGAGTACATATGTATATATTTTATGCGAAAAAATAAAGTACAATGTCTTACACTGTACCATTTTCAGTGAGCATATCAAAATGAAATAATTCAGACATACTTTAAAAAGATGTCTTGAAATACAGGAGACAAAGTAGAGACCAACCAAGAGACAAACAAAACAACCAATAAACGAAAAACAAATACCCAATAATTATAATATTGATATCTAAAGCCAAAAGCATTAGTTATGAATAAGAATACCCATTTGTACTCTTTATTTTAACAAGCAAAATGCGTAAGAAGACATATTAGTTATGAACATTTATACAAGTAATATTGCATCAAAATATGTACAGCGAAGAGAAATGAGTAGGTACACATTTCCTTCCTTCCTTTCCCTCCTTCCCTCCCTCCCTCCCTCCCTCCTTCCTTCCTTCCTTCCCTCCCTTTCCTTCTTTTCTTTCTTTCTTTCTTTTATGGAATTTCGCTCTTGTCGCCCAGGCTGGAGTGCAATGGCGCAATCTCGGCTTACTGCAACCTCCACCCCCTCAGATTCAAGTGATTCTCCTGCCTCAGCCTCCCGAGTAGCTGGGATTACAGGCGCCTGCCACTATGCCCAGCTAACTTCTGTATTTTTAGTAGAGACGGGTTTCACCATGTTGGCCGGGCTGGTCTCGAACTCCTGACCTCAGGTGATCCACCTGCCTTGGCTTCCCAAAGTGCTGGGATTACAGGTGTGAGCCACCACGACCGGCCTAGGTACACAATTCTTATGGAAGCATTTAAAAGAATACCTCTAATAACCATTTATAATAAATCACACAGGTAATAAAAAAAGAAGAAATGACTTAAACTATTTAATTAAACATACTGAATCAATAGAAATATACAGAAATTTTTAGCCTAGACAGATCACAGCTTCTTTTTTGGCATCTGTGAATTATTTACAACAATTAATCTGTGTTACGTGACAGAGAAGGCTCGATAAATTTCAAAATTCTGAGATAGTTCAGGCTGGTAGCTTCCTTAGTTACCTCTGTATTGGAATTACGTGGAAAAGAATTTTAAGAATGTTCCTGTGCAATTTCCACCTAGGTCTTTTGTACCCATTTATTGTTTCATTTATTGGACATGTGCTTTATGGCAGACACTGCACTAGGCGCTGAGGACGCTGCAGTAAATAGGAGAAAACCACCCCTGCTTTCATTTGCTTTTACAGAGGGCCAAATGCCATGGAGGAAATAAGAGAGCAGGTAACAAGATGTAGAGCAATTGGCGATTGAGGAAATTGTTCATGGAGTGGTCTGTGAAGACCTTCGGAGGGAGTTGTATCCCCGTGGAGTGGGTGAGTTCAGAGTGGACGATGACGCTAAGAGTCTCTAGAGAAGAATTGCGTAGGCAGGGACCACAGAGGCAGGTAGAGTGACCTCAGGAGAGCTGGGAATGAGCCTGCCCAGGCAGCCCGCCATGGAAGGCAGTTAGAGGAGGAAAAGCCGGTGAGAGGGGGGAACCAGTTGGGGAGGAGGGGAAACCGTTCGGTATAGTCTGCTGTCCTCATGGGAGCCTAGAGGAGAAAGGAAAAGGAAGAGAAGGAAGGAAGTCCAGAAAGTTAAGGTAGAATGAAGGGCAGCCTCGAGACCCCTGATGGGCCTGGCAAGAGCACTTCCGGGGTTGGAGAGGACGGAATTCCACTCAGAACCCGCTGAAGAGTAAAGGGAAGTTCCGGGGGGGTGTTGAGCACTGAGGAATTTTTATTTTTCTACATCTCTCCAGGGTAAGATTTAGATGCAAAATGTAGAAGGAAATGGTGATTGTTAAAGTAATTGAAAGCACTTGGAAATAAATAATATTCTGAATGTACTCTGGATCAAGCAGGCAGTTGAAAAGATGGTCACTGGAGTATTTGAATTACGACAACGATAATAACATCGGAGAGACATTTTCAAAAGCTGCTTTCAGACTGAAGTACCTGTTTTATTTTCTTTTTATTATCTTACTTTAGAGAGAGAAAATGATCAATATAAATGCACCAAGATTTTGTTTCAGGCTTTCAGAAAAAAAAAAACAAAAACAAAAAACACCTAAAACAAATAACATGGAAAAAGAGACAGGGAAAAACCCAATAAACTGAAAAATAGTAAGACGGTAGAAATGATAAATTCAATAATTGGTCTTTGGGAATAACTTGTGAGGAATGGAAAAGCTCGAGTTTTACAAATGCAGTGATGATAAAATTATGAAAAAATAACTAAAAAGAAATGAATTTGATATGTGGGAGACTTTTACATGTTACAGGAAGGCACTATGAAAAACTATATTCTAAGCAATTATAGTCTTGTTAAAAAGGAAACTTTTTTCAAAAATCAAAATTTAAAAAACTGCAGAAGAAGAGAAGAAAAGACAGACACATTAATAACCAAAGAAGAAATAGGAAAAATTCACAAGTGATAAAGGAGATAACTTCAAGATTTAGGAAATTGATAAATCTCAGAAACCTCAACTTTTTTTCAGAATATAGAGTGAAATATACATGATCTGTACCCATGTTTAAAAATGTTAAATATGTTGGAACAAAAAATCCTTCCTTGATGTTATCTAAGATACCTAAACTCATAATTAACATGCAATAATAATGGCTGATGGCTTTACTTGACTGAGCACTTGCTCTGAGGGGCAGAGGAGCAATGCTGGGTTTCACAGGCATCAGCTCCTTTAACCACCACAAATGGGGTCTAAGATAATATAGTTAACTCGACCTTATAGGCCAGGGAAATGTTCCTTCTTGTTTGTTGACAAAACGTGGCCCACTCCTTCTTTTTCCCTCTGTACCTCACGTTTGGCAACGCCATCATGAAGTCTATGTGCCCCATGCTTTGGTACTGGTGGGAAGTTCAAACCATGCAAACCACTCAGCACTCAGGAGCCCTTGCCAAGGCCCCAGCCCCAACCACAGTAAAAGCTACAGCCACTCATCGCTTCCTTCACCTCTCTGGACAAGTGCGGGTGGTTGCCCTGCTGTGAGTCCCATTGCGTAAGTGACACACATTGCCATGCATGCTTGATGCGTGTGTGGCATCCCCAGTTTCCATCTCTGTTTTGAGCTGAATTTGTGTCCCTGAGAAAGATATGTGAAAATCTTAACTCCTAGACCTGTGAAGGTGACCTTATGCAGAAAGAGGGTCTTTACAGGCGTAATCAAGATAGGAAGACGTCATTAGAGTGTGCCCTAATCTAACATGAATTTTGTCATCATGGGAGGAGGAAAATACAGACACTGAAGGAAAACGGCCATGTGACAATGGAGACAGAGATTGCAGTGGTGTGACCACAAGCCAAAGAGCACTCAGAGCCCCCAGAAGCTGGAAGACTCAAGAAAGGGTCCTCCTGTAGGGGCTGTGGAGAGGGCATTGCTTTGCCAACACCTTGATTTTGGTCTTCAGTCCTCCAGAACGCTGAGAAAATGATCTCGGTTGTTTAAGCCATCCGGTTTGTGGTATAGTGATGAATGGAAAAGCTTATGTTTCACAAATGCAGTGATAATAAAATTATGAAAAAATGATGAAAAAGAAATAGATATGTGGGAGACGTTTAATTGTTACAGGAAAGTACTATGCAAAACTATAGCCTAACAAGTTATAGTCTTGTTAAAAAGGAAACTTTTTTCAAAAATTAAAATTTACAAAGCTACAAAAGAGAAGAAAAAATAGATGCATTACTAACCAAAGAAGGGTTAGGGTGACAAAATGATTCACTATGACAACCCTCAGAAACTAATACAACCTCCACACCAAATTTGGGTGTGGGGCTGATTCCACCCTTGAAGGGAAATCACAAAATGGAAAGGTTCAGGGACTTGCCCAGGATAATGTTGGTCATAGCTGGAAGAATTTGAATTACTAATGCTTGACTTGGCAAAGAGAAAAAAGCACGTAGTTGTGGGAAACTGCAGTCCAAGTTCAGATCCTGCTTGTCTGACACTGGAGTCCACTGGTTTAATCCTTGCACTCTCTCTATCATAATGTTTTACAGTAGAATCTCTAGAGAAATTTCTGTTACATTAAGGGGTAAAAAACAGATTACCAACATTATTCAGTAAAATTTTCTAGAAGTTTTGGCCAAAGCAATAAGAACCAAGACAAATAGATAATGTATAAATACTTGAAAGATATGTGTAGATGACAAGTTCGTTGTATTAGTCCTTTCTCATGCTGCTATGAAGAAATACCCAAGACTGGGTAATTTGTAAAGGAAGAGGTTTAATTGACTCACAGTTCTGCATGACTGGGGAGGCCTCAGCAAACTTACAATCATGACAGAAGGGAAACCAAACACATCCTTCTTCGCATGGTGGCAGGAGAGAGAAGTGCCAAGCAAAGGGGGGTGGGCAGAGAAGCCCCTTATAAAACCATGAGATCTCATGAGAACTCATTCACTATCATGAGAACAGCATGGGGGAAACCGCCACCATGATCTAATCACCTCCGTTGAGATCCCTCAACCCAACATGTGGGGATTACAATTTGGATTACAATTCAAGATGAGATTTTGGGTGGGGACACGGCCAAACCATATCAGTTGTGTACCTAAAAAATTCAAGAAAAGAACTTACATGATGTTCAAATGTAAAAGTTTACTAAAGTAGCATGTTAGCAAGATAAGCATATCAAAATCAACCTTGTCATCTACACATATCTTTCAAGTATTTATTCATCTTTTATTTGTTTTGGTTCTTACTGCCTTGGCCAAAACTTCCAGAAATGTTAATGAATAACGGTGATAACCTTGTTTTATCCCTAACATAATAGGAATTTCCTTAACTTTTCTACATTCAAGCATTGACCAATAAAAAAATCCACTGGATCCCATTCAGAAAGCAAGAAAAAGCATAAAATGTCTATGAATAGTTTTAGGAACATGAAGAACCCATAAAAGATGCCTGCCAGAATTAATGAGAAATAGAAAAGAAGACTTAAATAATTTCAGAGGCACAGAATGCTCTGACAGAAAATTTTATTGGTTTACTATGGCTGCCGTAGCAAAACACATACATTGGGTGTTTTATTTGCACCAATTCATTTTCTAAGTTCTGTAGGCTGAAAGTCCATGATCATGGTGCCAGCAGGGTTGGTTTCTCCTAAGGCCTCTCTTCTTGGTCGAGATGGTGCTGTTTCGGGGTGTCCTCACACGGCCTTTCCTCTGTGCACGCACATCCCTGGCATCTCTCTTTTTATAAGGACACCAGTCATATTGGATTAGTGTTCTACCCTTCTGACTTCATTTAACTTTAATTACTTTTTTAAAGGCCCTTATCTCCAAACATAATCCTTGTGGGAATTAGGGCTTCTACATATGAATTTTGGGTGGACATAATTCAATCCATGATGGGAATATAAAATATTTTATATGTATCAGTTATCTTGTGCAGAAAAACAAACTATTGCAAATTGCAGAAGATTTAAACAACCACCATTTATTTTCCTTACTGTTATGTGTGTAATTTGGGTGGGGCTCAGCGGATGGCTTATCTTGTCTCACGGGGCTGACTCACATATCTGAAGCCAGTTTGCAGGTCAGCTGGAGCAGGTTGGTCCAGGACGGCCTTAGCTGGAGCGGTTCCCTTCTGCTCCCTGGGGTCTCTCATCTTCCAGCAGGCTAGCTTGGGCTTGATCACATTGCAGCTGAACAGGTTCCAAGGAGAAGCGCAGAAGCACTCAAAGCCTCTTCCAGGAGTCTAGGCTTGGAACTGGCACAGGGCACTTCCACCAAATGGTATTGGTCAAAACAAGTCACAAGTCAGCCAAAATTCAAAGAGTGAGGAAGTAGTCCCTACCCCTTAATATGGGGAACAGCAAAGTCACATTGCAAAGGTGGTATGGACATAGAGAAGGAATCTTTCATTATGGTTGTGAGCAACCTACCTACAATCAATGAGTTTGTTTAAAAGTAATTTTGGCAAAATCCAAACAATAATTTTATTTGAATATGATGAAATGATTCTAAAATTTGTTTTAAATAATTAAAATTAAAATATTTATAAAAGTTTAAAAGAAGAGTAAAGATGTCATGTTAATTAGGTATTAAATTAAGTATTAAAATTTATGAAATAATTATTAAGATGATGTCATATGAGACTAAACAGATAGCTATTAGAAGAGAACAGCTCATTCAGAGATGGAATATAGTTCATGCAAATACTTATGGTATTTTAAAGAAAGTAATCCATATCAGTGGGGAAAAAATGGACTATACAATACTGTTAAGAAATTTTCTTTGTATTTATTTACTTATTTTTCCTTTCGACAATTTTTAAAAACAATATCAGCTTTTATTTTAGATTCAGGGAGTATATGTGTAGGTTTGTTACATGGGTATATTGTGTGATGCTGAAGGTTAGGATATTAATGATTCTGTCACCCAGGTAGTGAGGATAGTACTCAACAGTTAGTTTTTCAACCCTTATCCCTCTCCAGCCCTTCCCCTTCTATTAGTTCCCACTGTCTATTGTTGCCATCTTTATGTCCATGAATACCCAGTGTTTAGCTTCCACTTGTAAGTAAGAACATGCAGTATTTGGTTTTCTGTTCCTGTGTTAATTTGCTTAGGATAATGGCTTCTAGCTGCATCCATGTTACTGCAAAAGACATGACTTCATTATTTTTTAATGACTATGTAGTATTCCATGGTTTATATGTACCACATTTTCTTTATCCAGTCCACCATTGATGGGAACCTAGATTGATATTCTAAAATTATTCATATGACATCAAAAAAGAGCCCAAATAGCCAAAGCAATCCTAAGCAAAAAGAACAAAGCTGGAAGTGTCACATTACCCGACTTCAAACTATACCAAGACAGCATGGTACTGGTAGAAAACAAACAAACAAACAAACAAACAAAAAATCAGAAACATAGACCAATGGAACAGGTTAGAGAACCAAGAAATAAAGCTGCACACCTACAGCTATCTGATGTTTGATAAAGTCAACAAAAATAAGCAATAGGGAAAGGACTACTTATTAAATAGAGGGTGCTGGGACCGCTGGCTAGCCATGTGCAGAAGAATGAAACTGGACCCCTACGTTTCATCATATACAAAAATTAACCCAAGATGGATTAAAGATTTAAGTGTAAGGAATGTATAGGAATCCTAGAAGAAAACCTAGGAAACACCATTCTGGACACAACTGGCCCCAGGAAAGAATGTATGACTAGGTCTTCAAAAGCAATTGCAATAAAAACAACAAACTGACAAATGGGACCTAATTAAACTAAGAGTTTCTGCATAGCAAAAGAAACTAGCAACACAGTAAACAGACAACCTACAGACTGTGAGAAAATATTCAGGGACTATGCATCCAATAAAGGTCTAATATCCAGCATCTATAAGGAAGTTAATTCAACAAGCAAAACCCAAACAAACCCATTAAAAAGTGGGCAAAAGACATGAACAGACACTTCTCAAAAGAAGACATACAAGGAGCCAAGAAACATATGAAAAAATACTCAACATCACTAATCATCAGAGAAATGCAAATCAAAACCACAATGAGATGCCATTTCACAGCAGTCAGAATGGCTATTACAAAAAAACCAAAAAACAATAGACGCTGGTGAGGTTGAGGGGAAAAGGAAACATTTATTCAGTATCGGTGGGAATGCAAATTAGTTCAGCCATTGTGGAAAGCAGTTTGGAGATTTCTCAAAGAACTTAAACAGAACTGCCATTTGATCGAGCAATCCCACTACTGGGTATATACTCCAATAAATAATTAAATAACTCAAGTAAAAAAACACGTGCAATGTTCATTGCTTTGGTATTTGGAAAACAGAATCTTCACAAATTTGACTCCAGATATATTTGCAAAGCAAAATAAATAAATAAATAAATAAATAAAATTAACAAATAACCAAGAGGAAATATAGGTTAGTATATAAAGTAAGACAATAAATACAGAAACTGATATAGTTGACTACCCAAAAATGTAAAAAGAGATGCACGTACAAAATAAATCAAAACTGAATGAAACAAGTTGATATATTTAATAGCAGCAAAGGAGAAATATTTATACTATATAAAGAAATCATGCACGCAATTAGAAAAACCATCATAAACATTGTTGGTAAATGGAGGAAGCACATGGAAAATTTTTATAACCTACTAACAAACACATGGGGAAAGTTCAGCTATAATAATAATCTAATAAAATTTTATAAATATTTCCAAAAAATGATAATACTTTGCTGTTGAACATCTGGTAACCAGTGTTAAAGATTGCTGGACTGTTTCAATTATGCTGGAAAACAATTTAGTGACACGCATTAATATCCTTCAACCTAGCATCTTTTGACCTAGTTTTGATTAGGTTAAAATTAGACTAATTTTACTTTTGAAATAAATCATAATGGCAAAACAACATTAACTACTATTTAAGTGGCCATAAGCATTAGAGAACAGGAAGTGAACGAGCACAGGACAGAATATTGTGTCATCACTGCCCATGATGTTTACAAGGCGTCTTCTATAATAGGAGGAAATTCCATCACCAAAGTCTACCTGTTGCAAGAAGACATTGGGGTTTGCTTCCTTCCCTTTCTATTTCTCCCCGTCTGTTTTCCACATTGTCTAACATGATCCTGGGTGACTTCTAGAACAAGAACATGCATAGTTTTGAGGAGAAGGAAAGCCAGTGCCTGAGTGTGTTTGTGTAGGTGAGCGTGTCCTCTAGGTCAGGTGGGTCTGGCGATGGGAAGACCATCCCATCCTGAGACATGCACATCCAGTGTCAGCGACAGAGCCCGTGAGTGAGCTGTCACGAATGTCGCTTCTCAGGGAGTTTACTGGAACTAAATGTTTGGGATTATTTCTTCAAATTACAGCAATCAAGGCATCGTTCTGAGACCTGCACTGGAATACCGCGTCGAGTCCTTGCTCATCCCCACGAATGCTTTGGGTTTCGCTGTGATGTGTGTGCAGCTGTATATGGGCCTGTTGGGGCTGATACAGCAGTCATTCTTTCCAAGAAATCTTTGATCTGCTGAAAGGTGACTACAAAGCTGATAGCCAAGGTACCGACGCAGGGAGAGTTTCACAATGTGGCATGTTAGAAGGGGCAGGTCCCAGGGGCCGCTTTGCTGAGTGTGTAACAGCTAATTGGGCCTGCTAGGGTCAGCAATTAGCTTGGAGCTATTCAGAACTGACAGGGCCACCTTTATCTGTAAACCAGTTCTTCATTGAACAATAACGCCGCAGCCAGTCAGGGAGATATCTGTGCAGCACAAAGCAGGCTGCATGTGTCAGGGTAGACGGAGCTTTTCCCCGGGCTGTGGAATTCGGATGTCCTCTCCGCAGTGGAGCCCAGCGATCACCTGGTTCCCTAAAAGCAACACTTGGCAGGTCCTTCGTGAGAGGAACATCATTTCCCTTAGTCTCAATGACAGAGTTGTTTCTCTGACTGAAGATTACCTATTGGAAAACTAAGCGTGATATTTTCTTTTCAAACAGTGAAGAGAATATAAAAAACTTCACTTCGAAAATGATCTACCAGGGCTGTGTTAATAAGAGTGAAGTTTGGAAAATAAAACTTGGAAACGTTATCTCTGGGAGGTCTAAAAATTTTCCTCATGCTTTTGATAGTCGAGAAGGGAATGTGTTCGCCTTTGTGTCAGATCCTTAAGCTCTTTTTCGTCCTTTTTGTTTGCACTTAAATTTCGAGAAAGAAAACAATGGTCCCTTTTCACAAGAACCCTTCTTCTCCTCCCTAAGAAAATAGCACTTCTACAATGTTACCTTCCTCAAGCTCCATGGCCGAGTTCTGGGTTTATTTTTAATTTATTTTTATATTGTTTTTCTTGGTGGGGGCCGTGGATCGGCTCTTCTCAAGTAGGGTGGTCTACTGTCAGAAGGCGTTATCTGGTGTTGAGGTATGGCCGCCATGTGGGGCCCTTCACACGTGATCTTGGAGTTCAGTGGAGGGGCACGCCCCACCTGGCTTCCCAACCACCACTGCCCAGTGAGCCTTTTCAACTTTTTTTTTAAATTATTTTTTTAGAGACAGAATCTCCCTGTGTCACCCAGGCTGGAGTGGCACGATCATAGCTCACTGCAGCCTTGATCTCCTGGGCTCAAGCAATCCCCCTGTGTCAGCCTCCTAGGTAGCTAAGATGACAGTTGCATGCCACCACACCCAGTTAATTTTTTAGTTTTTCATAGACATGTGGTCTCTCTATGTTGCCTAGGTTGGTCTCGAATGCCTGGGCTCAAGCCATCCTCCACTTTGGCCTACCAAAGTGCTGGACTAACAGTGATGAGCCACCGCACCTGGCCTGCCCAGGTGAGTCTTATGTCAGCCTCATCCCATCCTTCCCTGAGAGGTACATCAAGAAGGGAGAGGCACCTCCACAGTCTGTGGATGACAGCTCTATAATTTCAGCATTATTTTCATACAGTGCAAGTGCCTTATATATTTATGTGGCTTCATTTTACATGTGCTTTTTCGTGTAATTGATTTGTACTTGTCTCTGCTAGATTTCAGTAACTTACCTCTCTTTTTTTCTATTTTTATTTCTGTTGTCCCCTCCCAGTTGTTCTCTATCCTTGATGGAAAAAAATGTGAAGCACTCCCACTATGCTTTCTGTTCTCTGCAGCCTCTTTTTTGCAAGGAAGCCCTGTCGTGCAAGGGAAGGTCAGACGGATGAGATTCCGGTTGGTCCCTCTAGCTAAGCTGTTCCGCACGGCGAGTGTATGGGAACGAGGCTGCTTTGAGCTAACTTTGCCAACGCTCTGCTGGTGAGGTAAGCCAGGGATGAGCCCCTGATGGTGTTCAGGGATCTCCTTCAAGAGCATAAAAGGGAGCTGATTGATGAGGTCCGTGCATCTGTTCACTCTCTCCCACGACTGCTCCTGCCCCAGGTGTGTCAATACCCAGGGGCAAGGGGTGTGGAGGTGGGGAGCAGATTTAATGGGTGAATTTACTTGCAGTAAAGAAATTCTTCTCCTTGTCTTGGTCACCATTTTTTCACCAAGAAACTAGCATTTCCTATCCTACTAAAAGTTTACAGTTCTTTTTTTCTTCTTCTTTTTGGTGAGCACGTTTCTGCACTGTTGAGCTGACAGCTGAAATCTGTCCTCCTCCTGCGTGTGATGTCAGCTGTGGGCCAGCCTGGCAGTTATGAAGAGAAGAAGAGGGGACAGCTAGGGGGAAGAGGAAGCATGTTACGATTGTGACCAGACCGGCTGAAACTGTGTGTCATGTGTCACAAACCCCACGGCCTGGCAGATCTCCGTGGAGGGAGCTTTGCCTACTCGCATGACATATCTAAAGGCTCACGGGAGGCCAGCCCGCACCTGTAAGTCTCCTGGCTGACGTGCGACCAGGCAGCCTCCAGAGAGAGAGAGAGAGGGAAATGGGCAAGAGCTGAGACTCCAGCAGCAGCAGGAAATGGGCTGCGTTGCAGACAGCCGGCGCCACCAAGAGTTATTTCTAAAATCTGGGTTCGATTATGATGTGCAGTCAGGTACAAACTGACAGACGAACAACTTTCTCCCATCTCGCGGCTGCTCCTTGTTTACAGTGCTTTCAGACTCCATGGAAGTTTCTCTAAAGGCACCTGTGTGGTGTCTCATAAGAGTCCGGGCTGCCAAGCGCCTCCCGTGTCATTTCTAACAGGTGTGGAAGGTGAAAGGAAGGAACATGAAGGAAAAGATAAGACACGAAGAGAAGGAGCCATGTGGAAAAACCTGGAGTGCAGAAGTGTTCGTCTGAAAGGCTACGATGACCGTGATGAGTAAATTATTTTATTCCTACCATTATACAATAAAATACTATCCAGTTCTTGTGTTTATAGGAGAACAAATGACTGTTTCTCTATTTCCATTCATCTTCTATTTTTAAAATAAAAACTTTATATAAGCATAGGATACTTAAAAGGACCAAGATATATTTTGGCTTGTGTTTACATAGGGACATGTTTGAAAACATAGCATTTTTTAATTGGTAAAATAGGTAAAAACAACTGGAGAGGAAGTTTCATGCTTGGCAGAGATGATATTGAAATATTCAATGCACCGGGCATGGTGGCTCACGCCTGTAATCCAGCACTTTGGGAAGCCAAGGCAGGAGGATCACTTGAGGTCAGGAGTTCGAGACCAGCCTGGCCAACATGGTGAAACCCCATCTCTACTAAAAATACAAAAATTAGCTGGGTGTGGTGGCAGGTGCCTGCAATCCTAGATACTCGGGAGGCTGAGGCAGGAGAATTGCCAGAGCCCAGGAGGCGGAGGTTGAAGTGAGCTGACATTGCACCACTGCATTCCAGCCTGGGTGACAGAGTGAGACACTCTGTCTCACAAAAAGAAAAAGAAAAGAAAAGAAAAGAAAAAAGGAATATTCAATGCACACAATGGGAAACAAGAGAGGGTGCAAGGCTCTGGGCCCAGAATGTCAGGGAATCCAGGATCCTCCTGGTGAGAAGGCAAAATGAGAATGTGCAGCCTCTGTCCTCATGGAGGCCATGGGTGCAGAGTAAAGGGACAAACTGGCCACTTGGCATCGCATGGACAGTCTAAGGATTTCACTTTCTAGCAGCTCATTGTGGTATCTTATCTCTGCTGCCTGGACATGGGGACCCACAGCTTGATGGAGTCACTCTTTTTGGGTTGTGATTCCAATGTGTCACCTAAGCTGGCACCCAGGGGGATCAGGGTCCACCAGCAACACAATTACTCAACAGGAGAAAATACAATCCTGTTGTACCATCTGACACCAACTCCTCCCTGACACCTCAGCAATAGTCAGGACACATTTAGGATATTTTCTTTTTGAACTGTATCACTTTTGGACTTTTCTTTATCAATTACGATAATTTTTACCCTTGTCATTTAGTAAAACTCTGCGGTCCCTGGTTATAGATAAGATATAAACTTTGTATAATATTAAATATATATATGTAAACATGCATATATATCTATATGTGTATGTATGCATACATGCATGTAATATTTGTTTAATTTCAAATTAATTATATTTTGATAATTGTAACACTCTAGATTTGTTTTGAAAATACCAATTTTAAAAAAGATGCCATTTGGCCTATCATTGATGGGCATTTAGGTTGATTCCATGTCTTTGCTATTGTGAATAGTGTTGCAATGAATGTACCGTGCATGTCTTTTTATAATAAAATGATTTTTATTCCTTTGGGTATATACCCAGTTATGGGATTGCTGAGTCAAATGGTATTTCTGGTTCTAGGTGGTACATGTACACCATAGAATACTACGCAGCCATAAAAAGGAATGAGATCATGTCCTTTCCAGGAACATGGATGGAGCTGGAAGCTGTTAACCTCTGCAAACAAACACAGGAACAGAAAACCAAACACCGCATGTTATCACTTATAACTAGGAGTCGAACAATGAGAACACATGGACACAGGCAGGAGAACAATACACATTGGGCTGGTTTGGGGCACAGTGGGAGGGAGAAATAGCTAACGCATGTGGGGCTTAGTACCTAGGTGATGGGTTGGTAGGTGCAGCAAACCACCATGGCACAATGGCACACGTTTACCTATGTAACAAACCTGCATGTCTGGAACTTAAAATAAAATTAAATAAAAAAAGATGCAATTTGGTAATCATTATTTTTTCAATTGTTATATTTTTTTATTTCCCTGGACTTTGATTTGTAAAATCTTTTATATATTAAGGAAATAATTCAATTTGTCAAAAGTTTTCACAACCTTTGGGTTTGCCATTTACATTCTATTTTTGTTCATATTGGGATTTTTTTTGGGGGGAGCTAATTAAAAACATTGCAACCAAATGTTTGTAATGTTTGTATTCCTTTATTAATTCTTTTTATTTTTTTTTTGAGACAGACTTTTGCTTTTTTCACCCAGGCTGGAGTGCAATGGTGTGATCTCGACTCACTGCAACCTCCGCCTCCTGGGTTCAAGCGATTCTCCTGCCTCAGCCTCCCGAGTAGTTGGGATTACAAGTGCCCACCACCACACCCAGCTAATTTTTGTATTTTTAGTAGAAACGGAGTTTCACTGTGTTGGTCAGGCTGGTCTCGAACTCCTGACTTCAGGTGATCCACCCGCCTCGGCCTCCCAAAGTGCTGGGATTGCAGAGCCACCGCGCCTGGCCTCCTTTATTAATTCTTCCTTTAATCTTATGCTGAAAAGCCCTTTTTCTCCTCTAAACTCTTCTAGCTGTTTTAAATTGTTATATCTTTGTTTTCTTGGTTTACAGTGAACTATTTGGTCCTTCTTTTGTTTATTATGGAATATGGTACACAGTACATTTATTGTCCTTAATTAACTGACAGTCTCTTCCATGATGAGAAATGCATGCCTTGTTAAGTGCTAAAGTATACAGAGAATTTGACCTGCTCATGGCCTTCCGTTCTGTTCCATTATTATGCCTGCCCCGCCTTAAGACTATCAATTGATGTTTGGCAAAGTCAGTTGCATGCCTCCCTCATACTTTTGTTCCCAAAATATTCTTTATATTTTCACCTGTTTATTATTCCCTAGGTAATTTATAATTTTGATTTCAATTGCTTTGATTTGTGGGCAAATGGTATATCATTTCAAATGTTCATGCATCCCATAGATAAATACGATCTGTATGTTTTCCTTTTTTCAAAATTTTATGTATTTCAAGGCTTTTTAAAATCTTCAGAATTTTAAAATTTTATGTTTTATTTCCTTGTAGCATATGTTTTGGTTGGAATTATGATAGGGATCTCTTTTTAGCAATATCTTCTGCTATAATTTTACTGGTATAAAGAAAAGGTTTGTTTTTCATATGTATATTTTATAATTTATAATTTGATAAATTATAAAATATAGTGAATCCATTAATTAGCCATCACCTCTTTCTTTTTATTTTTAGTGAAAATAAAGAATGAACCCACTAATTAGCCATCAACTCTTTCTTTTCTATTCATTTTTAGTGGCTATCTTGGATTTTATTTATTGAGTATATATTTATTAGCTATCTCAATAAATGGATATTTATATTGATTTTCATAATAACAATTGTATTTGATCAAATCTAGTTCTATCTCATTAGATCAATTGCATTTGATCAAATCCGCTAGTTATACATCATTATATCTTTCTTTTCATTGTGTTAAACCATTAACAACATTTCCATAACACTGTTAAATAAGCAGACATTCTAGTCCAGTGTCTCATTTTATTTATTTATTTTTTCTTTTTTTTTTTTTTAATTGATCATTCTTGGGTGTTTCTCGCAGAGGGGGATTTGGCAGGGTCACAGGACAATAGTGGAGGGAAGGTCAGCAGATAAACAAGTGAACAAAGGTCTCTGGTTTTCCTAGGCAGAGGACCCTGCGGCCTTCCGCAGTGTTTGTGTCCCTGGGTACTTGAGATTAGGGAGTGGTGATGACTCTTAACGAGCATGCTGCCTTCAAGCATCTGTTTAACAAAGCACATCTTGCACCGCCCTTAATCCATTTAACCCTGAGTGGACACAGCACATGTTTCAGAGAGCACAGGGTTGGGGGTAAGGTCACAGATCAACAGGATCCCAAGGCAGAAGAATTTTTCTTAGTACAGAACAAAATGAAAAGTCTCCCATGTCTACCTCTTTCTACACAGACACGACAACCATCTGATTTCTCAATCTTTTCCCCCTTTCCCCCCTTTCTATTCCACAAAACCGCCATTGTCATCATGGCCCGTTCTCAATGAGCTGTTGGGTACACCTCCCAGACGGGGTGGTGGCCGGGCAGAGGGGCTCCTCACTTCCCAGTAGGGGCGGCCGGGCAGAGGCGCCCCTCACCTCCCGGACGGGGCGGCTGGCCGGGCGGGGGGCTGACCCCCCCCACCTCCCTCCCGGCAGTGTCTCATTTTAAATGGACTTCCTCCAGTTTTCCCCCATTAAGTTTGTAGATTACTTTTTCGATGTAAACCTATTCCTAATATTAAGGAAATATCCTTTCAGTCTTTATTTAAAAAGAGGCATCTGGAGGAAAAGATGCCTTTAACCCTGACATTCTACAATCTTTTGATCTGTTTATAGCTTTTCTGATATGTTCAATGTTTACTTCTTCTAGCCAGAATATAAGCTCCTTGAGAACTGGGGATCAATTTCATTCACTCTTGAATCTGCTGCACCTGTGAATGACTAAGAAATTAAAAATTCCATTTCAAAAGTCATAAGAACTTCCTGTTACTGCAAATAGGTAAAAAGTCTGAAGTTAGAGACAGTTTTGAAGTTATTTATTTAGTAATCATTTCAGTTTTACTGTTTGAAAATTTTCTTTTTATTTTTAAGTCAACTTAAGTAATTTTCTTCCGGAGAACAATTCATTTTATAAAAACTTTATCATTGTTAATGTGCAATTTAAACATTATTCTTAATATTTAAAGATATTTATCTATATTAAGGACTCCTTTAATACTGATTTTCTATAGTTATGGCATTTAATTTCTTAGTATCTTGATTATATCTGTCAAGAATTTGTCTATGCATTTTTTTTAATTTGCTAGAATGTACCTAAGAAAGTACAAGTTTTTTTTCTTGGTTTCTGACTTATTGATCTTTGCTTTTATCTTTATCTCTTTCCTCTTGACATTCTTGTTCTCCCTTTAAAACCAACTGAGATTAACATTTAAGACACTATGCTACCCTGCTTCAAACTATACTACAGGGCTACAGTAACAAAATAGCATGGGACTGATACAAAAACAGACACATAGACCAATGGAACAGAACAAATAACCAGAAATAAGACCACGTACCTACAACTATCACATCTTCAACAAACCTGACAAAAACAAGCAATGGGAAAAGAACTTCCTATTCAATAAACGGTGCTGAGATAACTGGCTAGCCATATGCAAAAGGTTAAAACTGGACCTCTTCCTTACATCATACACAAAAATAAACTCAAGATGGATTAAAGACTTAAATGTAAAACCCAAAACTATAAAAACCCTGGAGGACAACCTAGGCAATACCTTTCAGGACATAGGCATGGGCAAAGATTTCATGACAAAGACATCAAAAGCAAATTTGCAACAAAGGCAAAAATTAACAAATGAGATCTAATTGAACTAAAGAGCTTCTGCACGGCCAAAGAAACTATCAACGGAATAAACAGACAATGTACAGAATGGGAGAAAATTTCTGCAAACTATGCATCGGACAAAGGTCTAATATCCAGCATCTATAAGGAACTCGACAAATTTACAAGAAAAAAACAATCCCATTAAAAAGCAGGTAAAGGACATGAACAGACACTTTTCAAAATAAGACATAAATGCAGCCAACAATCATGAAAAAAAGCTCAACATCACTGATCATTAGATAAATGCAAATCAAAACCACAATGAGATACCATCTCGCACTAGTCAGAATGGCTATTATCAAAAGTAAAACAGTAATAGACGCTGGCAAAGTTGTTAAGAAAAGGGAATGCTTATACACTGTTAATGGGAGTATAAATTAGTTAAACCATTGTGGAAGATAGTGTGGTGATTCTTCAAAGACCTAGAGACAGAAAAACCATTCAACCCAGCAATCCCATTACTGGGTATATACCCAAAGGAATATAAATTGTTCTGTTATAAAGACACATGCATGTATAAGTTCATTGCAGCACTATTGATAATGGCAAAAACATGGAATCAAACTAAATGTCTATCAATGACAGGCTGGATAAAGAAAATGTGATACAGATACATGGTGAAATACTTTCAGCCATAAAAAAGAATGAAATCATGTCATTTTCAGGGACATGGTTGGAGCTGGAGGCCATTATCCTTAGCAAACTAATGCAGGAACAGAAAAACTAAATACTGCATATTCTCGCTTGTAAGTTGGAGCTAAATGATAAGAACACATGGACACATAGAGGGAAACAACACACACTGTGTCTATCCGAGGGTGGAGGGTAGGAGGAGGGAGAGGATCAGGAAAAATAACTAATGGGTACTAGGCTTAATACCTGGGTGATGAAATAATCTGTACAACAAACCCCCATGACAAAAGTTTACTTATGTGACAAACCTGCACATGTACCCCTAAACTTAAAAGTTAAAAAAGAAAGAATTATCCATTCTGAACCACAAAAATAAAATATTTTTTTTAAAGGCAAACAGAACCTAAAGGACCTAGGGAACTAAAGCAAAAGATCTAATATTTGTATCATCACAGGCCTAGAAGGAGAGAAAAGGGAAGGGCTGAAAAACTGTTCAAAGCTAAAAACTTCCCATTTGGTGAAATACATAAACCTACAGATTCAAGAAGCTGAGAAAACTCCAACAAGGTAAACCTAAAAAAATCCATACCAAGACATATAATAGCCAAACTTCTGAAAACTAAACACAAAGGAAAGGTCTTGAAGTTACAGGAGAGAAAGAAAAATTCATAATTACAGATGGATACTTCAAAACACCTTTCTCAATAATTAATAGAATAACTACAGAGAATATCAGCAAGAAATAGGAGAATTTAACAACACCATTACCCAACAGTATCTAATCAACACTTAAAGAACACATTAGTAAACAACTACAGATTATACATTCTGTTCTCCCACTGAACATTCACAAAAGTGGACCATATCTGATACCATTAAACATACTTCAATCATTTCAAAGAACTGGAATCATGCTGAGTGTGTCCTTTGACCATAGCAGAATCAAAGCAGAAACTAATAACAGAAATATAAAGGAAAATCTCCAAAAACTTGAAAACAAAATATTGCACCTTTAAATAGCCTGTGAATCAAAGAAATCTCAAAGGAAATAAATAATAAGTTGAACTAAATAAAAATAAAAATACATCCACAAATACAAAATCTGTGGGGTGCAGCTAAAGCATTGTTTAGAGGAAAATTTATAGCACTGAGTCCATACATTAAAAAAGACAAATAGCCTCAAATTAATAGTCTAAGTTTCTACATCAAGAAATTAGAAAAGAAGAGCAAAATAAACCCAAAGCAAGTAGGAGGAAAGAAATAAGGATAAGAACATATATCAATGAAATTGAAAACAGAGAGTAAAAATAAATAAAATAAACTTAGTTTTTTAAAAAAATTAGTAAAATTAACAAAAATCAAACTAGCAAGCTTCAGACCTCATACACATATCTTATAGACTGAAACATCATTATTAAAATATTTCCCAATAGAGTTCAGCAATATATAAAGAAAATGATATACCACAAGTAAATTCTTATTCTAGGGATGCCAGACTGGTTTACTACTTTTAAAAATCAATCAGTGTAATCCACTGTATTCACAAGCTAAAGAAGAAAAAAAATCACATGATCACACCAATTTAGGAGAAAAAATCTTTTGACAAAATTCAACACGCACTTGACAAAATTCAACACGCACTTTACAAAATTCAGCACATATTAATGACAAAAATTATCAGTAAGGAATAGAGGGTGGTTTCCTCAACTTGATAAAGAATTTCCTGTCTACAAAATGCTATAGTTAGCATCAACTTAATGTTAAAATGCTAAATGGCTTTCCACTAAAATTGAGATTTAGGTGAGAATGTTCACTCTCACCATTGCTATTCAACATCATACTGGAAATTCTTACTATCATAGTGTCTAATAAGAAAAGAAAAGTAAAGAGAATCCATACTGATCAGAAAGAAAGAAATTCACCTATTTGTAGATCACATGATTGTCTACGTATAAAATCTCAAAGGATCTAAAAAACAAACCAACCAGCAAACAAAAGCTTCCTACCACAAATGAGATCAATATGTTCACAAGATACTAAATCAGCACACAAAAATGAATTGTATCTCTACAAACTAATAAGGAAGAGAGAGAAACCGAAACTGCAAATATAGTACCATTGTAATAGCTACAAAAAGATCAAGTACCTAGGTGTAACTCTAACAGAGCATGTATAGAATTTGTGTGCTGAAAATTACAAAATGCTGATGAAAGAAATCAGAGACAATCTAAACAAATGAAGAGAGGATCTTTGCTCATGAACTGGAAGACTCAACATAACAATTTTCCCAAAATTGCTACAAACACTGAACACAATTCCTATCAAAATTCTAGCAAATTTTTTATAAATTCAAAAAAGATTATTCTAAAATTTACATGGGAAAGCACAATCCTAAGAATAGCTAAACAAATTTTGAAAGAGAATAATGAAGTGGGAGGAATATTCACTCTGCCCTGTTTCCAGGTTTATTACGTAGCATTGAGACTATGGGACTGGCAGGGATGGGGATACACACAAAGATAAACGAAATAGAAAAATGGACCAGTAACAGCCTCACACAGGAACAGCCAACTGATTTTTCAGAGGTACTAAAATAATTCAATGGAAGACAGATAGTCTTTTAAACAAAAAATAAATCTTAACCTAAACCACACATTTTATACAAAAGGTAACTAAAAATGGTTTAAATGTAAAACACCAAAGTATAGTTTTTCAGAATAAAACACAGGAAAAAAAATTCAGAACTTGGGCTTGATGAAGAGTACTCAGATGTGGTATCAAAAGCTCAATTCATAAAAGAAAAAGATCCATGAATTGAACTTTATCAAAACAAAAATTTTGCTCTGTGAAAGACTCCATTAAAAGGATGGAAAGACAGCTACAAACCAAGGGATAATATTTGCAAAACATATATCAGTTAAAGGACTCATATTTAGAATTTGTAAAGATCTCTCTGAGCTCAACAGTAAAAAACAAAATGATCCAATTAGAAAATAGGAAATAACATGAAGAGATCTTTCACTGAAAAAGACATACAGATAGAAAAAAAGCACATAAAAAGTTCAACATCACTAACCTTAAAAAATGCAAATTAAGGTCACAGGAGATATCACAAAACACCTATTAGAATAGCCAAAATAAAAACTAGTGACAACACCAAATGCTATCGGTGGCACAGAGAAACTCAGTCATTCATACGTTGTTGGTGAAAATATGAAACGATTCTGACCCTTTGCAAAATCACTTGGAAAATTCTTGAACAACAACAACAACAATAACAAAGCATACAAATATCCTATGACCAAGCAGTCACACACCTGGGCATTTATATCAGAAAAGTGAGAGCTTGCCAGAAAACTGGTACACAATTGTTGGTAGCCTTTTTATTCGCAGTTGCCAAAATCTGGAGACGAGCAAAATGTCCTTCAATGTGTGAATGGTTACACAGATCACGGTACATCAGTGCCATGGAACACTATTCAGCACTAAGAAGGAAAAACTCTTGATGCACAAGCAGCTCAGAGGAATCTCCAGGGAATATGGCTGAGTGACGGAAGTCAGTCCTAAGGGTTACATAGTATATGATTCCATTTATACAATATCCTTGAAATAACAAAATTTTAGAGATAGAGGAAGATTGGTGATTTCCTGGCTTTAAGAATCATGCGAGTTGCAGGTGGATGTGCCTGTAAAGATCTTCATGGTGACAGAACCATTCTGTGTCTTGTTTACGGTGGAGATCACTCAAGTCTGCATGTGATACAGTGACATAGACCTACACAAACATTGCAAGAGTGTCAGTTTCCTGGTGTGGATATTGTACCATAGTTCATAAGCTGCAGCCATTGGGGGAAGCTAGGTGAAAGGTTCAGGAGACCTTCTTGTACTATTTTTGTAACTTCTTATAGATCTATAATTATTTCAAAATAAAAAGTTTTAAAAAGGACCTACAGGTGTTAATTCAATGTTGAACAGACGCAAGGGTTCCAGAGGGTCTCAGCTTGTCCTCACTTGTTTCCTGTGCTGTGCCCAGCAGACCAACAGTGACCCCAAGCCACACACCAGGCAGACCACCAAGGTGACTTCCCAGGTGGTAAGGACTTCTCGACTTCTTCGCCTGGAGGACGCACCTAGCAAATCAGACTTTCCCACAAGCTCCTGCCTGTCCACCTGCCCCTCTTGTCCTCTGCCTCCTGATTTCAGAGCATCTCTTCTCCATTCATGTAACCCATGACTCCTGTATCGACCTCTTTTCCTGGAATGCCGATCCGGGGTCTGTGTTCTCGGCTGTTTCCTCCTGGCCCCCTCCCAACCAGCGAGGCTCCTCGGGCTCTCAGCTTCCCCGGCTTCTGCTTTACCAGCGCAAACCTCCGTTCCTTCCTGAACTCCCTCCCTTCTCGTTCACCTTGTCGTGCCCTGCTTATATTTTGCTACCAGCTCATTTTCCTTAAATACTAAACCAACAGTGTCCTTAATAAGATCATTAAATTCCATACGTTTAGGCTGGAGGAGAAGAAATCAAGGTCTAACCACAGGAGAAACAGCTTCCTCAGGGTGTTTGGGCGCCAGGGATGGATAACATCTCTTCATTCTCAGTCTGGTCCTAGAAATTCTCACCAGCTTTCCAGTTTCTAGCCCAGCAGGTATGAACTCCCGGTCTGTCCTCTTGTTGGATGACCTCACATACTTTCATGGCTAAATGTGTTGACTGAATACATGTTTCCTGGTCTTTATTCCCGCCTGTGTGTGGAGTGGCTTGGGGAGGGGCACGGAGTCTTCTCATTCCTGTGAGGCTGCAAAGGCCATATGTGACCAGGCCGTGAAGGCATTGAGTGCCAACCGGAGGGGTCAGGATTTTGTTCTAGAGCAATGGGACACCACTGGAGATTGTTGTAGAAGAGACATAAAGGCCATATTTGTATTTTAACAGCGATGAGTGAAACAGCCACGAAGGGACCGGGGCAGTGAGTGGGGAAGAGGCACTAGAAAGTGATGCAGCTCTCCAGGTGAGGGGCTGCAGGAGACGGGGCTGGTGCAGCCCCCCAGGAGTGATGAGGAGCATCTAGGGTGGAACCCACCAGCTCAGGGACTGTCTGAACACGCCTGGGAGGGGAGGGGGCTGTGATGACACTGTCGTGTCTGGCCTGGGAGACTGGGGGGATGGTTAACCATAGACAGAATGGGAAACAACAGAAAGTGAGTATGTGGGTGGAGGGAGAAATATTTTTGAGCACTTTTGGTTGGGCTGAGTGGAAATGCCTCTTTGGCATCCATGTCAGCGTTTTGACAAGATCAGGGGAAGTGTGTGCAGAAGAGAGTCTGAGGACAGGCTCAGGATGGAGGGTGTCATTGGCGAGTTTGGAATAGTAGCCAAGGCAGTTACAATGGGACAGCAGAAAGAGAGGAGGGAAAAGGGCTCTATCTGAACCCTTGAGAAATACTTAGTGGTGGGTAGAGAGAGAACCACAACACTCAGCACATTGAGTATTGCCTTACTACAGAAGAAATGACAACGGTCTGTGCTTCCATCAGCTGACAGCTCTGAGTCCTGACTCCAGTTCAGGGTGCCCTGGGAGACGGAACAAGACACTGATGAATTGGTGAAGTTCCTTGCACTTTATTCATTTTGCTAGAAATAGTATGAATGATAATAATAATAATACCTATAAATTGCTATTAGATGTTTTGTATACATTATCCCATTTAATCTTCACATCTTACCAAAAAGTTTTGGAAGGTTCAGAAACCTGCCCAAGGTCACAGAGTGGTGACAGGCAGTGGGGAGCTGGCCCACATCAGCCCTCTGGCCCTGTAGCCCACCTCTTTATGGAACGTAGCGCTGGGGTGATACTGGCACAATTCTGCCTGTGCCTGGGCTCAGGTCTGGCACACACATAAAACTCTCTACCCATTTCCCATGGCTGCCAGAATGCAGTGCACGTCATGAAAATTTTTCCAGCTCTCCTCTAGTAGCCCCATTTCGCACAATGAACCTTTTCTTCCTGTTTACTAAGTGTTTACACTGTCCTTTTAATCAGATATTACAAGAGCAGCTTTTTCCCTCTGCTTTTAACTAGAAAGGACTCATTTTAGAGAGTGTCTCGTGCTGCTTTTGTCTGCTCCTCCACAGAATCCATTTGTTGTCATTTTCATTCTTTCTCACTAGAAAGTGCTGCTCATCAGAGTGACAAAAAATATGAAGCATAAAACTGTATTTCCCCACACCCCAAATTAAGCCTTCCAGAAGGACATTAATATGCCCCAATTCTTTCTATCTGTTGAATTTTTCAGCAACTCAATCCCAAAACCATTTTTATATTTGGTCACATATGAGTTGAATGAGAGTAATTGACACTAATGATTTCAGCTCATATTTACTTGCTCTATTGTTTCATTTTGACTCTGTTTTTCCCTCTCCATTTCTGCCTTTCTCCCCCTGTATGTTAAGTTCCACCGAGATCTATCTTTGTTTCACAGAGTTCCACAACTCGGAAGCTAATCATATCCCAGAACACTGATCCTGATGTCCTGCGGTGTTTGGAATTTACATTAGTTGTTTTTTCACCCACTTTTGGTTAGGGATCATTTCACTGTGGATATCATACTCTGGCAAACACATGCTCATGCAGATACACACACGTTCACAAACAGATATCTCAAGTTAAATATTCATGATACCCAACATTATCATAGGGTTTTTCATACAAAGAAATGGCCAGTGTTGTCATTCAAGGCCTGGAGTACCTTATGCAGAGAATACTAAACAGCCCATTATTACCTCCACGATGTGACAGACGAGCTTCAACGGAGACTAATAACAATAAATTAACGTATCCTGAGTTTGAGGGGGAAAAGCAGGACAAAGGAGCTCTGAAATTGGAGATAACTATTATTGTATATTTTGATTTGGACTCTCTTGAATTAGGTTTGAATATCAGGTTAAAATTTTTACATCATTGTCCATTTCTGAGAGAATGAAGTTGACTTGTAGGAAGATAGTCAATGGCAGTGATTTCAGTTAAATCAAATGGAAACCAAGTTTGAAAAGAAAATAGATTTATCTTTCCACTTCTTGGGAATGTATTTCAGACATGCAGCATGTTCATCTCCTATTATTTAGTGATCTTTACAAAAAAAACATGCAACCTTTGAATTCAACCTTCTCTTTCATTTCAACTTAGATACAGATGTCCTCTTTTGGGAATTAAATATAGTATGTCATGTGCCAACAGAAGGAAGGGAAAATTTAGAATTCACTCCATAGCCAACGGATGGCAACTGGCCTAGGGAAAATGGATGATTAGAATGGAAGAGTCACATTGCAATCCCAAACTTGCACCCTGCTGAGGCCACAAAGACCCTGGGTTTCAATATGCAGCCTCCTCCACCCTGATTTCCACCCCTTCTGTGAAAAACAACGTACTCTGGGGCTGAACTGGTAGCTGTAATTAATAGAACTGAAACTGCAAACTATCTCATCACAAGTTCACCATCGCGTTCATATAATTTAAAGAAAAGGTCACATCTTAGCTTGAAATAGAGTAGAGATCACTATGGACATGAATGTTTTATGTAGAATAAGGTATGTATTTACTTAGAAATGCAGTATGCGCATATACTAGTTATCCCGGATGTATTAATTCATTCATTCGATCAGCAAACACTTAGGAAGTACTCACTATGTATTAGGTGCTTTGCTGAACTCCAGGGACCCAAAACTGAATAAATCTCTTAACTCTATGGAGTTCATGATTTAATTTAACCATATGAGGGTTTAGAAAATACACATCTGCAGAGAGGGTACTGAAAAGGCTGAGAAATGAGGTTATGATATGAAACTATGCCTCCTTATAATTGAGAAAAGCTAGATATTTCAAAAAGATAAATTACTGGGACAAGTTTCTGAAGAAAGTGACACAATGTGTCAACATCAAGAACAAATGTCAAATGTCAATAGTTTATCTAACAATGAAATGTTGTTGGAAGCTTTGTATGAGAGAGCTCTAAAAGTCCCCCTCACTGTCTGAATTCCCTCCTGGTGTGGAGGCAGAGAGAGGCCCTGAGTTCTCATGAGGGTGAGGATGATTCCCTTGCACCAGGTCAAGGCAGGAGAACAGGAGCCAGGAAGCTCAACTCCAGGGAACCAATAGTTCTTCCAATGAAGTGTCTAATCCTAAAGGACCCAGGGCTAGGCAGGAGTGACCAGACAGACCTGCAACATAAAGTGGGCAAGTTCGGGTGTGTACGAATCTAGAACAGCCGCAGAATGCTTCCTGGAAGGATGTTTGAAGGGACAGGAGCCATTGAGGGGGGAAAACTGGTTTAGAGACACACCGGAAATGCCTAAGAACTGGCAAAAGACACCTGTGGAGAGACGTGTGAGCTATGCACTTCTCAAACGTTCACTTGTCTTTTGGATAATTGATCAGCAAATATATCTAACTGACCACTATATACAAAACAATGTACTTTGGAGTAGGGGATGGGTATAGAAAGAAACATAGAACAGGACTCATGCTTTAAACAGCTTTCCATCTGTTTAAGTAATGTAGGTCTGACCTACACCAAACTTTTATAGTCATGTTGCCTATAGCTGAGGGAAAGTTTCAGGAGTGATTTTAGGAATAAAAATACATAGGAGAGAGGGATGCTGTTCTAATAAAAAGAACACCACATTTGGAATTGAAGTGTTGTTTCTGTCACTTATTAGTTGTATTACTTTTATGCAATCCTCTATATACTCTGAAACTCAGTTCTCTTTGGGAAAGTCCAAGCACTATGCCCACCTTATCAATTAGGCTTATTTGGTTTTGAGCAACAGAAGTGTGTTATGACCAACTGAAGCAGCAAATGGTTTCACTGAAAGGATATTATGCAGCTCATAGTAATGAAAGAAAGACTGGAGAAACATTCTCATAAGGAATAGGACTCAGGGCATCGTCTAGGGTTGGAGTAGCAAGAACCCGTCAATGGTCATGTCAAGAAGCTACTTTTTAAAATATATATATCTTTTTTTTTATTATACTTTAAGTTCTAGGGTACATGTGCACAACGTGCAGGTTTGTTACATATGTATACATGTGCCATGTTGGTGTGCTACACCTGTTAACTCATCATTTACATTAGGTGTATCTCCTAATGCTTTCCCTCCCTCCTCCCCCCACCCCACAACAGGCCCCGGTGTGTGATGTATCCCTTCCTGTGTCCAAGTGTTCTCATTGTTCAATTCCCACCTATGAGTGAGAAGATGCAGTGTTTGGTTTTTTGTCCTTGCGATAGTTTGCTGAGAATGATGGTTTCCAGCTTCATCCATGTCCCTACAAAGGACATGAACTCATCATTTTTTATGGCTGCATAGTATTCCATGGTGTATCCATTTGACCCAGCCATCCCATTACTGGGTATATACCCAAAGGAATATAAATCATGCTGCTATAAAGACACATGCACATGTATGTTTATTGTGACACTACTTACAATAGCAAAGACTTGGAACCAACCCAAATGTCCAACAATGATAGACTGGATTAAGAAACTACTATTAAAACAAATGAGGCCCAGCCATTTTTTTAAATCCTTGCACATTTTGTTCAAGATCCAACCCACTAGGAGAGGGTTCCATTGGCCTCGCTTGGGTCCCATGGCTTGCTCTTGAGGGATGGGTGGGCAGGGCAACTGACTAGTGAGATCCACCAGGACTGCACACATCGTGAAGAGGTTAGATCCTAAAAGGAAGCCAAAGCAAAGTTAATGAAGAAAGGGAGTAAGAAACAAAACCCCACAAGCCTTCCCCCAGTTAGGCTATGCAGTGGGAGTTCCCTTCCTCTCTCCAGCAGCAGGTGCCATCAGTGTCTACAATACCCACCCCTATGCCCATGGCACTCTGAGTTCTGGGCATGCAGACTGCGTCCTGCTGAAGCTCCCACCTGAGGGCTTTCTATGGCACACTCTGTCTGCACACAGGGCAGGATTCATGTGTTGGGAGCCGGCACCTGTGGGAGCAGCTCTCATTCAACGATGTCTGGGAACTGGAGAGTAAAGAAGAAGACTCCTCATCCCCCATGCAAGGCTCTGGAACGTGTTCTCAACCCCTCCCAGGGGTTTCTAGCACAGCTGAGCACTGGTCGCCCATAGCAGAAACGTGCTTATTGATGACACTTTCCCTGGCTGCCTTCCCTTCTCTGTCTCACTTTCCTTCCTGAAACCACCTCCTCCATAAGCTACATTCGCTCCATCTTTTGTTTTTTGTTTTTTTTTTCTCAGGGTCTGCTTCTGGAGAAGGAAACTTAAGAGAGGTGGAACCAGAAGTAGTTCTAGGAAGCAGAGGCTCAGAATTGGGTCATGGGATGGGAACCTTTACTGGTGGAGAGAAGATAGTGACAACTTGGGCCCCGTTGCGGCATCACGATGACTAGGGCTCTCACCTGACCTGGACCAGGCTGAGTGCAGGGAGGGACTGGCTCACACATCAGCATGAACATCAAGGAAATGGGTGATTGTTGATGAAGACTATGGAATCTGTGAAATAAAAAATAACATCGTAAAAGCGAGAAGGCCTACCTGGAAGCATTTTTAAGAAGATCTCTTCTCTTGTAGCCCAAAGGCAAACTTTACTAAAACTGAAGCCCAAAATATGATTTCAGGAGTGGTAGCATTTCAGAGAAGGGCTGAATTTGCTTCCCCGGCAATTCTCCTACACTGAAGTCACAGAAGTGGTAAGACCCAGATACCTGGCCTGGGACACTGGGAAGATGGTCTTCAGAGTTTAAGCCCTCGATTTCCCTGAGCACTATCTGGCAGAACCGATGGCCCCCTCCCATCACCTGGAGACCATGCAGACTCACCCTGGGCTGGAGGACTTGCAAGACAGATGCTGTCTGCCCCCCTTAACATTGGCGCCTCCCCTCTCAGTGCTTCCAGACCAATAACAAGATCAAATCTCAGCACAGCTAAAGCAGGGAAACGCTGCATCGGCTCCAGAAGGAAGGGCTCATTTTAAAAGGAACCATCCTCCAGAAACTGGGAAGGTATGACCAGGAATGGTTATGGGATATGCTAGACCAGGGAGGGTGGCAGATACAGCTGGGTAGGGCGAAGCCATTGATTTAGAAACACTTTCTCATGACCCAGAATTTAACATCTTAGAAGAAAATCTGCAGCCAAACCAATATTTCAGTAGAATCACTGCTAAGCTTGGAAACCATGATTATTTACATGATTATTTACATGATTATTATTTACATGATTATTTACATGATTATTTACATGATTATTATTTACGTGATTATTTACATGATTATTTACATGATTATTTACATGATTATTATTTACATGATTATTTACATGATTATTTACATGATTATTTACATGATTATTATTTACATGATTATTTACATGATTATTATTTACGTGATTATTTACATGATTATTTACATGATTATTTACATTAGCATTGGCCCTCAAGTTCGGTTGTTTTGTCCCGCAGTGAACATTTGGCAATATCTGGGGACATTCTGGGCTGTCACAGTGAGGGAAAGTGCTACTGGCATCAAGTGAATAAAAACCAAGGGTGCTGCTAAATACCCCACAATGCACAGGACAGGACCCCTCAACAAAGAATTACCCAGCCCGAAGTGTCAACAGAGCCCTGGACTACAGTAAGCAAGTTGAAAAAGATGGCATCTTAAAATACATTGATTTTATGAGAACAGAAAATCCACTGGCCAACTATGTTTCCTGCGGTCGGTGTAGGAGGCACTCCTTCTGTTAGCACTGCGAGAAATGCCCCAGGGAGGGCCACTAGCCGTGAAAAGCCCAGCTGTGGGCTGTCTTCAGGCAAATAGGGCTGACATAAGAAATGTTACTTTGGAACAGGTCTCCTGAGTGTTAAAAAGGATGATAAGATTTCAGAGTGTCAGGGGCCAGCCGCTGAAGGTGAGAGGGAACACCAATGTCATTACTGCACAGAGCAGCATGGCCTAAGTGTCATCCGGGCCTGGACCCATGGGGCTCTGGGCCTGGCTAGTAGACCCTGGGACTTCTAGGGCAGAGACAGATAGGAAGCCAATGAGGATATTGCTTGATTTACATTTCCAGGAGTGACTTTAAAAGGTAGGCCAGCAGAATTCCTTTGTCAGTTGGGATAAAATCATGAGCCCTCCTCCAGTTTCCAGATAACGCCCATTGATGATGGGAGAGGCAGGGCTCCTTGCAAAGGCTGTGCAGTGTTACCCTAGTTATACACAGTCGTGGCTTCCACTGTTTTCATCCAATGGGACTTGTGGTCATTTCCTAGAGTAACTAGTACTCTAGGCGGAAGGACAATACCCAGATCTATTGAGAGATATTAGATACAGAGTTTAATAGACGCTGATACCAGAGAACCCAAAGCACTATCCTGCCCCACTCCCTGTGAAATGGGGACTCACAGAGGTCAGGAGATATGCAGGGCCCGCCCTGGCCCAAGTTCATTTCCAAGTGGCTTCTGGATGGAATGGCAGAGACTTGACGTAAGTACATAAATGGATACTTGGGAAGTGACAAAGAGCTTAGCTGGAAAGAGCAAAGCTGGAGGATTAAAGATGAAGAGGTCTGGGCTGGAGGCACGTGTACAGATCTGCAGAAATGAGTGCAAAGTGTGCATATCTTTGCATCTTACACCACATCCACCGGAAAGCATCCAGCTCAGAGGGGCCATTGAATAAGCAGTGGACAAGATGATCCTACCAGTGGACAGAAGCCACACGCCTTCCTCATCCACCAGCAGCTGCCCAACGGGCTCGTGAATTGGGTAGCCATGGTGAGGGCTAGCGGCTGCAGATGGGCCTCAGCATGGCTTCCTCTCGCTGCACCTGACAGAGTCACTCCTGTGGGCCAAGGCCCTCCAGTCCCTCTTTTTCCCTCATAATGTGTTTCAAATTTTCCTTCAAAGATTTGCTTTGTGAATTCATTCATCCACTCTAGATTGTGATTTTCTGATTTATTGCTTTCTACTTCATTATATTTTTCCTTCTGTTTTCTTTAAATTAGAAAGTTTTGAAGTTATTTTCTGAATACTTGAATACTCTGTGTTTTCTATCGACGTAGCAATGCATTTCCTTGTGGGTGTGGCTTGAAGACTATGTTTTCTATCGACGTAGCATGCCAAAAGTAATGCATTTCCTTGTGGGTGTGGCTTAGTTATGTAGATCTCAATTTGTCATATTCACGTTTTATTTTTTCTATACTTACACTTTTAATTTCCTCTTTGGCTACACAATACTTTATAATACCATTTGTAAATGTATAGAAAGAAATTTTCCCTGAGATTCTTATTATTAGTTTCCAGTTTCATTGTGTTTTCTAAATAAGTTGTAGTTGCTATGACTTAAAGATCACTTTGTGTTTAAGAAATGCGTGAGAATATTGGGTCTTAGTCCTCTCTTCTTTCAATACTACACTTTTGAAGAATTATTTCCTTGATTATTGCTGTTTTCTTGATTTTGGAAATAGAGACCTCATTTTCTTCACTTTATTCTTTGTTTTTCTTTTGTGATTTGGAAAGTAGATGTCACGTTTAAAATGTTACCACTAGTTATTCGAAACTTTTAAAATAAATATTACATTAGTCTAATACGTATTTTAAATGGTGAAAATTTTCTTTCTTTATTCAATATGAGAAATTTATTATGCTTTTTAGACTTTCTGCTGCATTTTCCGTTACTTTAAACTGTTTACAAGTCTTGTGTTTTTAAATAACATGTTTCTTATATGCAACATTTTTATCCTTGACATTTCCAAAATATGTGGCCATTTGCATATGTTTGTTTGATCATTTTCATGTTTGTTGCAAGTCCTAATCTACCATGAATTCCTTTGATTTTCTTATGGACCAGAGCAAGTCCCCGCAAGCTCTGCCCCATAGGCCATATCCAGGCACAACCTGACTGTGAGTGGTCTGTGAGCTAAGTATGTTTTTAACATTTTATAGTAACTGAAAAAAAAAAGATTAAAAAGTGAATGCTATTTCACAGCATGTGAAAGTTAAGTGAAATTCACATGTCAGTGTTGTAACAGTGTAGTGGGACACAGTCACGCTTACTCTCTTCCACATGGTCTGTGACTGCTTTCACACTACCATGGCAGAGTTCAGTAGTTGCAACATGAAGCTATATGGCCCACAAAGCATAAAATACTTACTATCTGTCCCTTTGCTGAAAATATTTGCCCACGCCTGATGTAGAGCAGTGAGGTGAGCCTTTCTTCTACAGACACACATTTTTGATGCCATGTGGAAGCCCAGTGCCCTCCTCCATGCCCTGAGTTTGCAGGAGAGGAAAGCACTGCAGTATTTATAACTGCCACAGATATCAGTGGTGTGGCAATTACTGTATTTATCACAGGCTGCATGTAGAGCAATGAGGCCACCCATGACAGCCAGTTCCTGAATTCTGACTATAACTCCAGCCTCTCCATTGTTCTCAGTGAAAGCAAGTCAGAATGCAGGAGAATGAAGTTGCTCTCACCCTGGAGAAAACCTGAAATCTTCCCTAGTTTATTATGCTTTTGAGGAGTCAATTGCAAACTCTGTTGCTTCACTGTGATGAAACATTTCTTGTGACACGTTTCTCACCTGGAATGTCATGGGTGATCATGGCTGAGAGGTTGATTCAGGTGCTGGCTTCCGGAGAGCTACTGGGTAGCATGTTTTCTGTAACAGGACGGATGTGAACCTGTCTTTCTGGCATTTGCCTGTTGCCTGGTACCCCTAAACCAGAGGTTCGTAGTCTTATTCTCCAATCTTATAAAGATGCATGATTGCCTCTTAGTCAATGCAATCATGAACAAAAATGTTTACACATCAACACGGTCCCTAAGAATATCTGGTTCATGGGATCCATCTCCATCCCTTTCTAATCCTACTAAAGAAAGCATAATGAGTTGGAACCCACAGCTTCCTGCCCTCATGGAGGTTACAGTGGGGTAGTAAGATAGTCATTAAACAAAATAATGGTTACATGATTTGGTGAGAGGGGAAGGGAACATGAGGCTCAAAGATGTGGGACTGAAGGTATAGGGCCAAGTTTTTGTTTTTTGTTTTGTTTTGTTTTTGGAAAATAATACGTCAGTGGAGCCTTAAAGGTTAATTTAGGGAGAATGGGAGAAGTATTTCCAACAGCAAAAAAATAGAATACATGAAGGCCCAGTGACAAAAGGGCATAGTAGATGAGAGGAACTCAACAGACTTCACTATTCAGGCTCACAGCCTGCCAGGAGGAGGATGACAGGCTTTGTAGACCCTGCTCAACCTGCCGGTCGAGATCTTCATGGCAGTGGGAAGTCACCACGGGCTATCAGAGCAGAGGATCAGATTAGGGTTCTTACAAGAAGGCTGACTGGGCTAAAGAGGGGTAAGCTGCAGGCTGGGATAGCAATTAGGAGTCCAATACGGTCATTCAGGTGAGCCCGAATGAGAGTTGTGCCAGAGAAGATAAAGGAAGCAGGCAGAGTGGAGAGGTCTGTGAGGGGGGTGAATGGACACAGTGGCCGATGGGGTGAGGGATGCCTCTTAGGCTTCCAGCTTTGGTGCCACATACCAAGACAGGGATCACTGAGAAGGGGGCCTAAGAGCTGGGGATGGTGGGTCCCAAATGCAGGAGGTGAGGTTGAGCGTCTTCACATCCATTGTGCAGCCAAGCGCAGCAGTCATCTGGGTATGGAAGCAGCCTTCCCTGACAACCGGAAACTGTTCCTCCTGCACTGTCCTCGTTACTCTCTCTCACCACACCTCGCTTGTCTGCTTCAAGGAATTGATCATTAATACTTGTAAAATTCTGTCTGTATTAGAGCTGCCGTAACAAATGACCTCACGCTTAGTGGCTTAAAAAAATAAAAGTTGGTTATCTTCCAGTTCTGGAAGCCAGAGGTTCTAAATCAGTGTCAATCCTCAAACTCAAGGGGGAGAATCTGTTCCTGTCTCTTCCAGCTTCTGGTGGACCCAGGTGTTCCTTGGCTCATGATCCCATCTCTCCAGTCTCTGCCTCTGGGGTCGCATTGCCTCCTCCTCCTCTTCTGTAGTTAAATATCCTCTGCCTCTTGTACAAGGGCACTTGTGACGACACTGAGCCCACCTGGATCATGTAGGATAAACCCCCATCTCAAGAGCCTTAACTTAATCACACCTGCAAAGTTCTTTTTTGCCATATAAGAAAAGATTCACAGGCTCCAGGAGTTAGGGCATGGATCTCATTTCCTGGGGGGCAGGGAACATCATTCGGTCTAACATGCTGCCTTTCTCTCAAGGATTTACCCTCCGCAAGGGCAGGTCCCCACCTGCCAGGTTCACCAGAGTTTCCTGTTACGAGCATGGTGCTGGACACATCGGCGGCATTAATGCAAATATATTCCTGGGGTGCAAAGGCATGATTTAAAAATGTTATTTTCTTTTGTTCTCTTCTTTAAAATACCTTAAACTAAGGCAACTAGTAACTCGCACAAGCAAAAATCTTGTGCTGAATTTCACTGTTGTTGACCACACCTTCTTCAGACTCCTGTATTTTTGACATCTCTTGAGGGCCACTGGCAGGTGGTCAGGTGCGGAGGACAGGAGTTTGTCATTTTGGTACACAGGGAGTTGCCTTGATTGGGAGTGAGTGGGCTGGAGTGCAGCCATGAGCCTCCCTGCCTCACGCTGCACCAGACAGGGAGCTGGTACTCTGAACCCACCCTGGCCACCTGTTCTCACTCCCCAGGGCTGACCACTGATGTTCGGCCCATCCCTTGGGGTGGTCAGGGGGAAGTGAGGAGCCAGGAGCCCCTCTCACTTCAATCTTTGTTGAAGCGTTGGTTTGCTTGTTGGCTGGTCACCTGGAGCTAGAACAAGGCTAATGTGAGCACAAGGCAGTATTTTCACTGATCTTCAAGCACAGTGGCAGAGAGTGGTTTTGAGATTCAAGTCAGGCATGAGGCTGATGCTACATCCTGGTCATCTGGAATCCCATGACTCCTGTAACACTGGTGTCAGGGAACAGAAGTGGCACGTGGATGTGCACTGGTGTGTATTCCATGTTCTCATGTGCCTGAGGAAGGCGGCTGGACCCGTGGTGTATTGAATCTGCATACTTGCATTTTGAAATCCTTCTGGTAAATGTCAAAATTGACAATGGCTACAAAATACGTGGATGCACAATCTGAGAAGCTTCCTTGCTGTAAATGGTGCAGCTATCCCAATCAAATTTTAAGACACAAATTAAGGATGATTTGAGCATATTTTGCGTTATTCTTTGTTATATTTTGAATTATAAGAGCACTTTGCTTGGCTTATTTTGGGCTTGGTAAGATATTTAGAATTTCATGTCTTCTTTATGAATTGAGAAGCAGACACTTAGCGTGGTTTCTTATTTTACAAGTGCAGTCTATACCAGAGTAATAGAGCTAAAATATTTACAAGGCAGAGACTTGCCTGTATGGAGTTTTCTGATTATAATTGCTAAACATTAAAGGACATGGAAATAAATATTTCTAGCTTTGCACTTCTTCAATGTTGTTTTCAATGCTGCGCAGGGCTGAGAAACCTCAGCTTTTGAAATACTAGAGTTGTGGTCTAGTCAAGTGTTTTAAGAGCAATGCTTCCATAATTTAAAAGAAAGATAATATGCTTGCCATTCTACCTCCAGAAAGTTTGCTTTGCAACATCATCATAACCATCATCATCAATATTAGAAGTAGCAGCATCAATATTACAACAGCTGCCAGTTATGGGCCACTTATCTGTGCCAAGCTCTGTGCTAAGCACTTTGCATGCTTTATCTTATTAAATCATGATAATAACCCAGTTGACACCCCGTTTTTATGTGAGTATGCTGAGACTCAGAAATTAAGTTATTTATCCAAAGAAACATAGCTAGGAAGCAAGGGAGTTGGGATTTGAATCTAAAATATTAGATTCTGAATTCTTGAACTGCACCTAGGGAGTCTGTGTGTTTAATTACAACAAACACGTTTCTTTCATGATATACCTCAAAACAAACTGGTACTGTTTATTTAAATAAACACAAAACAGAAACCCAAAAACTTGTTATAATTGTTTAAATTTGAAAAGAAATGCTTAAAGATGACGTCACCTTTAAGCAGCTTGTTCCTGAAGTGCAGGCTTCAGGTCTACCCTCCAACTATTTTCATTGTAAAATATCCACAGATGCTCAGCTGCTTTGTTAATAACTATCACATTTTCATCATTGTAAAGATAAGCTGAATCACACCGATCCAGTTATCTTTAATGACCACTAAGTGACTCCCTTGTAAGTGCCCAGCAAGTTATAAGCTCTGCATTCTTTGGTATCCAGAGAACCTGCCAGGAAGGCTTGAGGCTCCACTTTTGGCATAAAGAAAATGGCATGTCAGACAGGGAGGCATGGACCTCAGGTCACCGAGCTGCTAAGGAGCGTGGTCGGATTTGAACCCTGACATGTTTATTCCAATGTCGATGCTCTCCTCACTAGGAGGAGAAAATATTATCTTCAAATTGTAGGAAGTGGGAAAAAAAGGTAGATTATTCTTGATATGACACATGTATCCCTGTTGTTTGAAGGACTTTTTTCTAATTACATTCCTCTGAATTTTTAACTTGTCTTAATCCTTTTTGGTTAAACTTAAAATTTGAGCTAAATAATAAAATACAATTATGAACAATAAAAACTTTTTATTTCGGGAATGATGAAGTTTTTCCAACTGGGCCATATTTCCTTTATTAGAAATAGCAGATAAACTGAACTTAGTGTTGGCCAAATCCTGTGGCCCCTTGATTGTAGATACTGTGCTTTATTTTTCATTTTCAGAATTTTACATGGTCCTTGGCTTATCACATGTATTCAAATATTTTGTGAATTTGATAATAATGTCAATTTTAAGATATTTGGGATGAGACATTTGGTAATGATGTAAAATTACCTAAATACAAAATGATATTTTAACATGCTAATATGCAGGAGAAATTCAGGTCACCATGATCATTATATTAACAACACTGTTGGGTTTAGAGACTCTTTGCCATATTAAAAATGTGAACAGAAGCATTGAAGTCATTTTGTTTCCTAAATGGTGAGAGAAATAAAAACAGCAGTGAGAGCTTATTTAGTTTGAAAATTGTATTGATCTCTATCTGCTCTTATAATACATTAGTCTAGGTACCAAACTAACTTTCTCTTTGTCCAATTATAAAGAGAAAGAAAGAGAAAGTGTACATTTAGCCTTTCAGTATCGAAATTCTATTATGAGTTTCAAACCTACTACTTTACATTTACCATAAAAATTGCATTTCCATGGACAATTTGAAAGCATTTTACAAAAATTAATTACTTTAAAATGCATTGTGCTTAAAAATCTAATACCTTCTCTGACTACTTTAAAGTTCTTTGAAGACACTTTCTTTTGTCTTTACAGTTATCTTGTTTAAAACAATAGAGTCTTCTATTACACAGTTTTGAACCAGAAAACTTGCTGGAGAAATCACTGTTTATTTAACACTCACTCTATAATTTTCTTAATTTTTATCACAAAGATACACACTGGATCTTCAAATTTGTTTAATTTGAGTATTGAAGAAAACCCTCATTCACTACTATGAAAAATATATTCTATTTATCTTCTGATTTGCAAAAATAATTTTTGTTCCTGCCTCCACAGTGAGATATTTGCTCACCCAGTTTCTCTAGTTCTTTAGTTCTCTTCTTTTTTTATTAATATGTGTGCAAAAGTCTACATCAACTGTAATGTGAGAATTAATACACAATTCCTTGGAGGACCTGTGTCACGCACACAATTTTTACACACCATGGTAGGTTCAGTGGTCATCAATGAAGGCCAACTATAGCTTTACCGCTAAGGATACTGTACTCTTTTTCAAGAGATAGAACATAAACATATTCAGGATAAAAATCACAGTAGAGTCACATAACCATATGGGAGGAGACTCACAGAACACCAAGCCCTACTTCATCCACAATCGCTGAAAGAGGAGTTGATGTAAGAACCATGACCTCAGAAGAATGAGGATTGCCATGGGCTGGAGGGATATCTACTCCATTCCAGCCCTTTTGCTGTCTGGGGATAAACGATGAAGATAATTCGTATTTCTGTTCCGCTCTGGACCTCGCAAGAACCAGTGACCAAGATACTCTACCATTTTCTGAGTATTATCATATTAATGAATTTTAGAGGATATTGTGGGAAAAAGTGGTATCTGTAAGAAAAATATGTTTATCGTGATCTCAATTTGATTTGTGATTAAAACCAGGCTTATATAGAATGTCCTGTGTTTGATTGATTTGGTTGTGTTGGTGGTTGTTTTCTTTTGCAGCTTTTTGAAGTCTCTTCCGGATTTAGAGATCAGATATCAAGAGGATGGAAATGAATGATAACAATTCCTCCAAGAATGCAAAATCTCGCAATCATTGTTTCCAGGTTCATTAAGTATCTCTATTTCTTTTCCCACAGAACAACAAAAGAACATGTGCCCATTAAAAGAAAAAACTCACACACTTTTTCCAGCAATGTTTCTAATAAGGCAATCTCAACAGATCAGATGTCTGAAAGGAGTGAATGATATTACCTGGGGACCTTTTGCTGAAGTGGAGACATTCCTAGACTTCAACTTTTCTCCCAATGGTTAAACTTTTACTTAAAAGCATGAGCTGAGCCAAATGTGTAGATCTGGAATTCACTAAATTACTTCCTCTGACTTCCTTATTTCTCAGTTGGTAATAATTTGATTATAATTGAGCTTCATAATTGAGCAACATACAAACACATATTCTGCAGAGGCTTCCAACTACCAAAATATGCTTTCACCTGAAAAGCATGTCTAATTATACACACATATTTATTCTAACTTACTTGATTAAAAAAATAAAATAAATAAATCAAATAAGCCTTACTTGGTTCTAGTGGGAAACACATTTCCAGCTCTGGGGAGGGAGGAGAAAAGAACCCAATTGTGATTAATAATCCTCATTACTGAGTCACTCCTCTGACCAGCACACACTTCAGAAGGTCTTATTACTCCCCTTCTGTAAGAAATGAGACAAAATGAAGGGAGTGAAATATGGAAAAAGCAAATAGTTTGGTACATGTCTAAAGCTGGCTAAAACTTTATTATTTAGGTAACTTTCGGTGCTCTCTTTGGGGCTTACAGTACATACCTAGGAGCAGACATACAGTAACTGAATTGTTTCAACTTCTCTAAATAGCATTGAAATGGACTTAATTGTTGCACCAGAGGAAAAATCGTGTGTCTCCAGAGACTATTAGTGTCATTTAAAAGGCTAAATGTATCATAAAACCTGTCTTTAACAGAATAAAATTGTACAGACCAACACAATTTTCACTAATGTTTTCCACATTTCTTGAAAAGAAAGAAGAAAGAAAGAGAAAGAAAGAAAGAAAGAAAGGAAGAAAGAAAAGAGCTAGCCTACCTACTGGGCCACAGAATTATTAGGAATACTTTAATGCTATAAGCCACCGAATGCCTTTTTAAAAATTAAAAGGACTTTGTAGCAAGATACTTGCAAGGTAGATTTGAATAAAAATATTCCAATTCTAGAAGATAAATGTAGCTGATTATATTTCTTCCATAGTGTGGTTTTAAATACAAATGCAACGTAACTTACACAAGGAATAAGATTCAAGCCTCCTCCATTTTGTGTCTTCAAAGTGAAAGTGAACTTTGTAGCTGGTTTTATTGACTCTTTATTTTTCTTTTATTTTTTGTTCCAGGGAAATACTTCCCTATGGTATTTTTCTTATTGTTACATATGTTGTACCTGCTGAATTGTGTGCTCAGCTTCCTTTTGAGTAAAGTAAATAATGGTAGAGCTCTTCCAAAACAGAAAAAGGTAGAGAGAAGGGTTTAAGCATTGCTTTTATTCCGTCAAAGAGACAAAGGGATATTTCTTTCCTCTAAAGAAGTTCAGAGTATAATGGGGAAAAATCAAGAACAGAGAAATAGTGAATCAAACCTCAATTGAAAGAACAAATCTTTCTATTTATCTGTCTCATCTTTTTACTGGGGTTGTATATCAACTATCAGGAAAGCTATTTCAAATAACTTCTGCTAACATAATTGTTATTTTATATGTTTAGTTGCTATGGTGATGCATGACGTAATCACCTATTACCACCACAATCCGTTATTTTTTCATACCTAGCCAGCATGTTATTTCTCCCTTTCTTCCCTTAGTCCTCTATGATGCAGAAGGAGAAACAAAACAAAACACATATATTATTTCCTTTTTGGGCAAGCCTCTGCGTGGGGATGTAATTACTCATGTGTAGGAGCTTTTCCCGTAACGGAAAAGTTTCAGATTTTCACGCAACTGCCACCATTATCACCCGATCCTCATTAAACTGTGGGTGAATGGAAACAATTGTAATTTCTTCATTGTTTCAATGTGGATTGTGAACGTTTCCAGAAGATGGGGCAATGCAGCAGCACATTGTTGTGACTGAGGGATGCCCATGCTGATGGAGACTGGCTGTCTAGGGGCACAGTTTTGCCATCCTGTAGAGAGGAGCCTGGATTAATTAAAAGCAACAATGGCTTTGGCAGTGCTGCGGTCCTCAGTGACCAGCTGCCCAGAGCTGCAATTCTAGAAATATCATGAAATCGTGTGATACCAGCAGTGTGAGGAATGGATAGCACATGTTAAGGAGCTGACATGTTTTGATGAGATACTTATTATCTCAAGTGACTGGACCCATGGTAAAGTCAAACCCTTCACAATGTGAGTTTCCATATCACTCCCAGTGACCATGGCCTTTCAGGAACAGTCTCAGGATGTTGTGCACATGAAGCAAAAGCATGGTTCATCCCAGGTAGCACTAAGGATTCCTTAGTGCACTGGCATTTGCAGCTGGCTAGACCAGAGGACAACCATGCTCAGCCATCCACAGAGAGGGCTGATCGCAGCCAGCAAAATTAACCTTTGCTCCTCATCTAAATTACTCTGTACCTGTACTCAGCTGTCCTAACCCTAATAAATCTCTACTTCCAAATGGGACTCTCCTATCCCTCGAACTGTCTGGTGCTCCAGCCACACATATCTGAGCAGATCCTGGAGGCCCAGCACCTCTTGTCTTGACTTATGCTCTTTCTTTTTAATTTTTTTTTTTTTTTTTTACTTTAAGTTCTGGAATACATGTGCAGAACGTGCAGGTTTGTTACATAGGTATACATGTGCCATGGTGGTTTGCTGCACCCATCAACCCGTTATCTAGGTTTTAAGCCCCACATGCATTGGGTATTTGTCCTAATGCTCTCCCTCCCCTAGCCCCCAACCACCCTGCAGGCCCAGGTGTGTGATGTTCCCCTCCGTCTGTCCAAGTGTCCATGTGTTCTCATTGTTCAACTCCCACTTATGAAAAGCTGGCAAAAGTTTTGGCCTTTATTCCTCATCTAAGTTACTCTCTACCTGCACTCAGCTGTCCTAACCCTAATAAATCTCTGCTTCCAAATGGGACTCTCCTATCTCTCCAACGGTCTGGCACTCCAGCCACATATATCTGAGCAGATCTTGGAGGCCCAGCACCTCTTGTCTTGACTTATGCTGTTTCTTAAAACCAGAGTTTTCTTGTTTTTCTTTCCAACTCTTTTAAAATCCCAATTTAACTTCCCACATTCATCCTAGAGGCCACCTTTGCTATTAAGTGATTTTGATCATTTGTCAGGATTAATATTTCTGTCTTCTGAGGCTCCCCCTTTGCTCATTCTGCTCCATATTTCTTGTCCATCTATCCTTATTTAGCATGATCTCTCTCTCTCTCTCCCCCTCTGTCTCTTTTTCTCTCTGTCTCTTGACTATAAGCCTCTAGGACGTGGTCTCCACCTTCATCTCACTACTCATCCTTGTAGCCTTCAGAGCGTCTGGCACAGTGTTTGGGATGCCCTGCTAGACAGCTTTTCACTTATGAAAAATGGAACCCAATTCAAACTCCAATTCTACAATGTGCGTGCAAATTTAAACAGTCAGTGCCCTAAAAGTTATAGATAGTATGGGATATTATGTTCTTTTCAGCATATCTACTCCCATATCCCATACACCAACCGCTGAACCAATTTCTTGATTTTATTTCCTATTATCTAGGGAACAGATGTTTTTCAAATTGTGGGATTTAAATATGTACTGACCCTGAATTAAGTCACTTTCTTTGCCAGTTTAGGAAAAGCCCCAGATTCCACTATTCCCTGCACTCTTGTATATTTTCCTTGATATATATCATAGAAAGGATTTCTGAAAGCTTCTGAAAAACACGTAATAAATTTGGTGCTTCTCTTTTCTTATGGTTTTGTGTTATATTTAGAAATATGATAGTTCTGTTTCATTTCTATATTCCCATAAGCATGGCGTGTAAGGAGTGGATAAATATTTATTGAATGCAAGAAGAGAGAAAGAAAGAAAGAAAGAAAGAAAAGAAAGAAAGAAAAGAAAGAAAGAAAAGGAAGGAAGAAAAATGGAAGTTGGGGGAGGAAGGAGGGAAGGAAGGAGAGAGGGATGAAGGGAGAGAGTGAGGGAGGGAGGAGGAAATAATGCATAATTTCTTTTTATTTTAAATTGCAAATCCGCCACATTGCCCCTTCTCTTGGTTTCAAGACCTAGTGGATGGCTTTTGTATTCCAAGTTTCAGTGCAACTGTAAGGGTCGCAATGAAGTAAGAAGTCACTAAAAAGAAAACTCAAAGGACTCATTTTTTAAAATGAAACAATTATAATTATGGTCACACACTACTGCAGGCAAACATAATAACTTTCCTGTTCAACTCACTGATTTGCAGACATTTTAGTTCTAGTTATGCTCAGACATACATTTGCAACTCACAGATGCCGAACCTATGCTTCTTTAGTCATTCTCGTTGTGATACTTTCTTCACAAATGGTGTTTGGTGATGCCCTTCTTTCTAATTGCTTTAAATTAAAAAGCAATTAGATGCCTACTAATTTCAGATTGGATTCTCTGGGTCAGGACTGAGATGGCTGCAGCATCATTAGGAAGTGTGCATTATACAGTTCCTTCCAATATCAACTGGCCCTTCACAGAGCAGAAGGTCAGGGCCTGATCCTGCAGGTGGCAGCTGTCTTTATAGACGGCAAGATGGAGCAGAAAAAACTCATTGATATCGTACAGCTCCAGATGATGCAACTGGTCTTCTGACTCTATTCTGAAATAAATTGAGGCATGGCTGGTATTTTGAAGCTGCTTTATCATTTTGCATACCCAGTGCATGAGACGCCTGGTAGGTAACAAGCTCGGTGTTAAAGAATTCGTACAATATGGTTTTCTTTTGTTAAACAGCTTACTAAGGGCCGTTTTAGATTACTGAGTTTAAGTTTCAAAGTCTACATTTTGAGATGTTTATTGCTTTACCCATTTTACAGATGAGGAAAGGAAAGAGACTTGGTGACTTGTTCAGTCTTTTGGTTGATCACAGAGTTGGGACTACAAATTGGGTCATCAGACTCCAGGATTGTCTCTACCCCCCACCCCCACTATATCTCATAATTCAACACAAATGAAACTATCCGTCTTTAAGGATTTAGGTGATATACTTTCAAATGACTCAATCTCCTCACTAACCTTCATGAATATGTAATAATTTTGTCCCCGATGCCAGAACCATGACCTGAAAAAAGATGTCGTCAATATTTTAGTTGAGTAAGAAAATCACTGGGGCTGTGTTTTCTTTCTCCATCACTGAGATCTTAAAGAACATATGGATAATTTCAGCAGTAGCTGGATTTTGGGAGCCTGTGGGTGTCAACTGTCTGTCCATTCAATCACAAGCTTACAGGCTTTCTCCTCAAAGAATTTTGTCTGCATCACTTATCTCTCCAAATCTTTCTTCAGTTGGACTGAAAAGTGTTACTTTTACTTCCTTCCTGCTGGTTTATTTATATTCAGGAGCGTGATTTAATGAGTTGGTATCATAAGCAGTTATTTCATTCAAATGACTTCTTAAAGGAACTACCCACAACAAACTAGCATATTGGCATAGGTGAGCCACCCAAAACCACTCCCTCATTCCAGGAAAATTCGTAAGCTTGTCAAGTCAAATTTTCCCTCTTGTGACAAAATACGTAGTGAAACAACTTATGTTGATTAGTTTTTAACTACTTACCTCTGAATTGGCATATTAGTATTATACCTATTAAGGAATAATGACACCAAAAATGTGTTTAAAAAATTTCTCTTGCAAAAGTAGACGTGAATGGTCAAAAAGGGTGCTGATATTTGGGGTCTCCAGTTGTGTTAGATAAGTTTCAATGTTAAAATTATGTAAAAAATCTTTTTCAATATCAACTAATTTTTTTGACTTTAAAAAATAAAGTATAAGTACTTAGTTATAAAAGTGTATTTTGAGAAGATACTGGAAATACACAAAAATATGAAAATATATAATAAACAACTTTCATAATATGAACCTTTTAAAAGGTTCCTATGCTTCTTGAGTTATTCCTCCATTTCTTTTTTTTTTTTTACTTAATTGAGATTTTTCTTCTCAACTTTGTATTAACATCATATAAGAATGTTTCACTGTATCAGTGGTCAAAGTGATATAACTAATGCCTATTTATGAACATTTAGGTGACTTTTGAATTTTTGTTAGGATAGGTTTAACTGTAAAAATATACCCATCATTTATACGTTATGCCTGTTCATATTAATATATTCAACATAACTATATGTTTATAAAATATAAATACTTGTGTAATTATGTTAATGTGTTTATAAAACATGTTATATGCCTATAAAATAATTTTCCACATACTATTTGCCTAAGCAACATTAAAATTTTATTTATAACATTTAGGAATATAAAGAAGTTTTATATTTTTGTGCAATCAAATTTAGTAATATTTTTCTTTGTGGTTTCCTTCATTATTTTTAGGTATAGAAATATATTTTGGAATAGATAATATTTTCATTATTTGTTGGCAAATAATTAAAAATAATAAAAATAATAAAAAATGAAATACTTTTTAGATAGCAGAAATATGATTTTAAAGGTTACAGCAATATATTGTTATCTTGAATGGTTTCACCAATTCATATGCCCCCACAAAGAGTTCGAGGTTTCAAGTCTCACTACTCCCACTTTCACATTAAGTGTTATAAGTTCAAGTTAGTCATTATATCCATTCTAATTCTAAAATTAATGCATCTTTATCACAGGAAGTTTGGAAAATACCAATGAGTACAAAGAAAAAATAGAAATCATTGTTATCATTCAACCCAAGGATAAATACTGTTAACTGTTTCCTATATCACCTTCCTGTCCTCTTCTCTTAAATCTTACTTTACATATAATGTTTTATCCTGCTTGTGTTTCCTTAATATTATATGTGAGCATTTCCCCACATCTTTATGTACTATGCACTCACATCATTTTTAATGGCTGCTGTCGCCTTGTTGAACATGTAATTAGTTATTCTGCTACGTTGAGCCTGGAAAACCCTTCCAATTATTCATGATTTTTAAAAAGGATGTTGTAATGAATATCCTTGGGAACACACATTTAATAGCATCTTTTTAATTTCCCAAGAAACAGTTCTAGTACTGAAATGTTGGGATCAAAGGATATGAATTATATCACTTTATTTCTATTGTCAAATTACTTATGTGGTAGGTTAGAAAGAGTGTATCATTAATTTTGCTTTTCAACTTTCAAATTTTGATTTTTTACTACAATTAAGCATATTTGGCAAAATTATTAAATATTTATATGTCATCTTTCATGCAACAATATTTTCTGTTATTGAATGTTTATCCTGTGGAAACTCTTTCTTAAACCTATCCTTTGAACTCTCTATATCTTTTATCCTTGAACTCTCTATATATTATGGTTCATCAGTTTTTTCCTACCTGTTATTTTCCTGAAAAGGGAAAATTAAGATTTTATGTATGGAATCTATGGCTGTAGAGAAGTTTTACAATTTTGTGTGATCAAATTTAAAGTGTAATAGTATTTGTTATTTCTTTCATTAATTTTATGCAGGGAAATTTATTTTCTAAGCAGGGATTATGTAGATATTTTTGTGTCTACAGTATTTTCTTCTCTTTTTATAATATGGTTTTCTTTTATTTAGAGACAGAGTTTCACTCTTTTTGCCCAGGCTGGAGTGCAATGGTGCAATCTTGGCTCACTGTAAACTCCGCCTCCCAGGTTAAAGCGGTTCTCCCGCCTCAGCCTCCCAAGTAGCTGGAATTACAGGCGTGCACCACCATGCCCAACTAAGTTTTTTGTATTTAGTAGAGATGGGGTTTCACCATGTTGGTCAGGCTAGTCTCGAACTTCTGACCTCAGGTGATCCACCCGCCTTGGCCTCCCAAAGAGCTGGGATTACAGGTGTGAGCCACTGTGCCCAGCAGGTTTTCTTTTTTGTATTTGACGATTTTATCTATTCAGAATTTATTCTGGTGTATTTGTGAAGAGAAGCTATTTCTGTACTTTTTTCTCAACTTGCTAATCATTTATCAAATCGTCCATCCTTTGCTCATTGCTTGGCATTGTCATTTTTGTGAAATATAAAAGTTTAATAACATTTTTATATTCTCCAAAGTCACGAATGTTCTCCAAAGTCACTAATATGTGGTTCTGTTTCTGGCCTATCTCTTCTATTTCTCTGATCTGGCTGTTTGTTGTTAGTTTGTTTTTAATTTTATTAAGGTCCATAATATGTAAGGAGTAAAATGTTTTGTTAGAATTTAAGACACAAAAAAAGTCAACTGCTTAATTGAAAATAGAAGTAAATGCCACTCAGTGGGAGAGCTCCGTCTTAGTGGGGGCCCGGTGGCAGGACACCATGATCCACGGGTGGATTTGGAGAGGGCTCTGCTGGTGCGCAGGAGGGAACCGTACAGAGGGAGGGTGTGAGAGGAAAATCCTTCAGAGCCCACGGAGGCAAGATGCAGTGAAACACAGAGGAGGGCCAGGAAGCACAGCGCAAGCTGAGAGGTCGGGGGCCCAGCCGCTGGGGGCTACCTGCCCTGCCGGGCCTGTATACTTGGTTGTATTGATAGATTACAGCGCATGTTTTCACTAGAATTCAATGTCAGCTTAGCTTTTAGATACTTAGAAAATGGACTGGCATCTAGGAGGAAACGTACATGCATGAAAACCCTTATATTTCCTTCCTGGCCATCGTGAGACATCCCCTACCCCACTGACGGTGAGGGAGACGTTTCCATTTGCATTGATGAATCGATGGGAGCTGATACCACACTCCTTCTTATTTATTATTCTGCTACTTTCTGCTTTCCGGGAATCTTCCAGCCCGCTAAAAAATATCTGTGAATATGTTACCATGTGAAAATATTTTTAAAATTACAGCTACAGTCTTTCTCTGGAGAGCAGCACTACACACTGACAGTATCTGCCGGGCGCATGGACGCATTGCTGAATTCATCTTCAGTATTTGAAAAGTTGTTAAATAAACTCACTGCCTGGTAGTACTGTGCTGCCCCACCGATCTCTGTGCTGTGGGACCCGCTGCTGTTTGAGGGAACCACACGTGTGCTCCTGGCCCCTTCCTTCCAGGCATGTGGTCGGATGGGATGACAATTTCTGTCCCCTTGCCTTCGGCCTACGCTGCTTATGGGCAGAGGACGTGGTGGGGTAGGGTCTCTCTCCCTCTGCCACAATGCCCAGCAATTGTCCCCGACAATGTTCCCAGTGTTCCCAAATATGCTCTATACTTTTGCAATTGAGTTTGCATCTCTAACTCCTGCGTATCTGAGGAGTAATTACAAATCTAGATGATAAAACAAATGAGTTTCTGTAAGTTGGTATTTCTTGTGACTTTTGATTCTTAATTCCTAAAGATATTACATATTTTCCTGTTTAGTGCTTTTCTTAACCAATTTCTCATTGAATATGAGTCTCAGATTCATGAGGCTCATAGAATAAAGTCCCATAATCGTATAAATTTTGGTTGCATGCCTTTTGTCAGTTTCTAGTCCAAAACACTTCTAGACCCGCTCCCTTACACAAACAAATCTGTGGTTTAGCTAATCTGATTCACTAAAAGGAATACACTATCTTATGAGAAATAAAAATTAAAAAATTTATTCCATGACTTCTTTTCCTCTTGGCTTTGAAAAACATTGATTTAATCTCTGAAGTATTGTTTCCCCTTTCTGATTTGGCTATTGTTTCAGCCTCAACAATACAAAATATCAAAAAGAATGCATTCTCCTTTTTTATTATTTTATTTTATTTTAGCATTTCTTCTATCATTCTGTGGGCTGGTCCACAATTTGCTTTCTGTTCTGCTGGCATTTCATGTGTCATCTGTACAATGCCTTTTCAGCCCCTATCCACCCTCACCCCCGCTCGTGTGCATCTGCCTAAATCACGTTTTACTTCTGTCCCAGAAGGCCTTATGGTAATTAAATAATGGTGTTTCTTCTAATATTTCTAGGAATGGTTTATTATTTTATACTGGACAGATAGGATGCTGTGAATTGCAATGGACTTCACGCAGTTGCTTACTTTCACTATTGGTTTGTCTTTAGGTTATGTCCAGAGGACAAAATCAAGCACGTTCTGTTTTCCAATGTAGTAAATGTGATTGAAGTTAAGACTATTTGCTTGTCTATGAAGGCAATGTGACAAGTCATAAAAGAATATTTTTTTCTTTCCTGTTAGCAAAAAGGAGCTAGTACCAATCATGTAAGGATACACCAGAAGCTGAACCATGACTTTTGTTTGAAAGGCTAAAATCATAGACTGAGATTCACATTTGAGACAGTATTGATCTTTGGAGATAATGCCCTTTTTTTTTTTTTTTTGAGATGGAGTTTCACTCTTGTCACCCAGGTTGGAGTGCAATGGTGTGATCTCGGCACTGCAACCTCCGCCTCCCAGGTTCAAGTGATTCTCCTGCCTCAGCCTCCCAAGTAGCTGAGACTACAGGCACGTAACAAAAACAAAAGGAGCTACAGTGTGTGGGAGGCAGCATGGTCTGTTATAGGCAGTGCCTAAACTTGGCTTCCTCATTCATAAAACTGGGCGAAAATCTCTTCATCAGACTAGTGCTGGGAAGATTAAGTGGGATAATTTCTACAAAACATGAATTTCCTTTCTCCTGAACTTCTCAGTGCACACAAGATGAATAAAAATTGCTGTCTTATTTTCCTGTGGTTTTTAAATGTTTGTAATAGCTGCAATGCACTTTGACGTTCAGTGCCTAAATTTTAATGTTTCTAATTATAAAGTTCCCTATTTAATTGATTGCGGCACATATACATTCTGTTTAGTTAACTCTTAACGTTAGCATTCAACACAGTAAGAATGGTTTGAGGTGTGCTCTGAACTTGGTTTTGCATCACATTAGTTTATGTCCTTGAAGACATGTCAGTCCTGGATTAAGATCTAGAGATTGAAACTCTGAACACATAGAGATATGACGCAGTAAAACTCCATGTGAACACAATTTCTGTATATTTTAGAAAATACTAATCAAAGATGAAAACTAGATGTTCTCCAAAGTCATTAATGTAAGGTCCAATAACATTATTTCAGGAAATATTCCAACAAAATTTGTAAGCTTCATGTTTTTTAGGTACATGTAAACTTTTGCATCCTTTAAGTGTTGAGTGTTTTTTTAAAAAAAAAGTTTTAAGAGGACAAGCTCTGCCAAATGTTTTTGAAGTACAGTATGATTTATCAGCAAATGGGATATAAAATTTTAGAGTATTCAAGAGGTAATGAGAGCAACAGTTAACATATAGCAAGTCTGTAGTAAAAGGTTATTTTTTTAACCTAGAATTTGACCAATCCAAAGGAAATTATATGGTTTAGAATTGAGCTGTCCCCAGGGACTTGAAAAAGCCCTTAAAACATATTATTTTCTTTCTTTCTAGGGGCTTATATCAGCTGTTCCTCCCTTAAATAAAATGACAAGTTACTATTGTATCTATTTCACAATAGCATCAAAATTTCTATTACATATTTCCCTTTGTGATTTAAATGATATTAAAATAAAAGATTTATTCTGGAGTATTCACTGTGTTCCTAAATCAAAAATTATCTTTGCTAGCCCTAATTTTAAGTGAAGCTTTAATAATAATGCTACTTAGCATTTGCATAGCACCTTATACTTTTAAAGTGCTCAAGATTATTAATTAGATACTCTCCCCACGAGCCCTGTGAGGTAGGTCAGCCTTATCCTCTCTTTTCACAGACCCAGAGGTTAAGTGGCCCGCCCAAGGGCCCAGGCATTCCAATTGCACTTGAACTTGGAGTTTGATTTCTAATGTTTGGTGCAGACCACAGAACTCAACTACTCAATATTAACAGATTAAAATACAGCAGACAAGAGCAAATCAAAATAGACTTTTAACTGCTTAATGATAAAACAGTAAATATTTGAAGTTAGCTTTCCATTTTAGCCTGTCTTAGAGCTTTTATAAGGAAATCATAGCTCATTTTATAAAATTATAGTAATTTTAAAACAATTAGAAAATTAAACAAGGTTTCGGGTAGAGAGGTCAGTTTGAGGAAGAGGGCAACCCACCTCCTCCTCAATGACTGAGATAACTGAAAAATGAGTGTCTTTGCCACGGCCAATTCTGGTCACTTTCATGAGGCCTCTTTACAGTGCTTGCTTCCACCAAGAAGTAAGTTTAAGCAGAAGAGAGGTACGGTCATGGGCTCCTTGTGTCCTGTGAGTTATTATTAACTGTTTGGCGTCAGCTGCTTCCCTCCTGGCACACACATTTTGGATGTGATCATTGAACTGGTTGGATAATGACCTTCTCGGAGCTGGTATGTGTGTGCCAGAGACTGACCTCTGACTTGTGGAGTCAACTCAGACTCTGTTGTCTCATACTAGTACCTTGCCTTGTGCCAGTAAAACTGAAGACTCCATTTTTTATTTTCCATTTGTTTCAGAAAGAATGTTGATCCTATTAGCATTGGCAAATCCGTATGGGTCTACAGCAACCTCAATTCTTGTCTCCTCAGAAGAAAGAATTTGACCAAGGGGCATAAGGCAGAGGGAGAGAGAGAGGCAAGTTTCAGAGCAGGAGTGAAAGTTTATTAAAAAGTTTTGGCCAGGAGTGGTGGCTCATGCCTGTAATCCCAGCACTTTGGGAGGCTGAGGTGGGCGAATCACAAGGTCAAGAGATCGAGACCATCCTGGCCAATATGGTGAAACCCCGACTCTGCTAAAAACACACACAAAAAATTAGCTGGGTGTGGTGGCACGAGCCTGTAGTCCCAGCTACTCGGGAGGCGGAGGCAGGAGAATTGCTTGAACCCGTGAGGCAGAGGTTGCAGCGAGCCGAGATCGCCCCACTGCACTCCAGCCTGGTGACAGAGCGAGACTCCCGTCTAAAAAAAAAAAAGGAGAAAAAAAGTTTTAGAGTGGGAATGAAAAGAAGTAAAATACATTTGGAAGAGGGCCAAGCCGGCAACTTGAGAGATCAAGTGTGCCATTTGACATTTGAGTTGGGGTCTTATACATTGACCTGCTTCTGGGGGGGTTACATCCCTTCTCTCCTGATTCTTCCCTTGGGGTGGGCTGTCCATACGTGCCGTGGCCTGCCAGCATCTGGGAGGGACCACATGCACAGTGAATTTACTGGAGTTGTGCACATGCTCACTTGAGGCATTTTTCCCTTCCCAGTCGAGTTCCTAGAGGAAGGTCCTCTACCAGCTAAGTTCCACGGTTTTGCCTCTAGTGCTCATGCTTGAGTCCAGTTGTCTGACTCCTGAGATTTTATTGGGAAGCTTCTCATCACCAGCTTCAAGCTTCAGGTATTTCTGTCTGTTGGGAGACTCACTTTCCCTGGCACTGGCTGTGCCCAATTATTATTTTAGCTTAACGAGGGCTTGACCGTCACCTGATGGTCCCTGACATTCCTGGTGACCTGGGGCCCTCTTTCCTGCCCTGCTCATATCTGACTAACCATCTACTGTAATAATCCAAGTCATTTCTCAGAAAACAGCTTCTATGTCACTTCTTGAGGCTTTTGGGGAACTTGATGGATTCTTTTACTCGGCTAAATGCCTTTCCCTTATCAGCTTTTGAAAAATGAAAATTATAGTTTTATCTTTATCTCCTACAAAACCTGGTTCTCAGTTTTTATACATGGGATTTTGGCTAAACAAGAGGTGAAATAGCATTTGTCTTGGCCTAGTCAGAGGGTTTGGCACATACTCTTGTGACTAAATACTACCGTTGTTTTTAAAATAGTTATTTCTTATAAAAATTGTGAATGAGAAAGGGGAAAATGCATTCTTAAAGTTTCTGTCATGTCCCTAAAGTGATGAATCTGAGATGCAAACAGGAGAGGGAAGAAATAGAAAATCTGCAAGATCTGCAGTGTTAGGAGGTGAGAAAAGCAACCGTCTTGTGGGAAGAAGTGGACCCCTGGACCTGCATGTGAGCCTCCACCTGGGTGGGCCTCAACGCCTGTGCCAGCATCCCCGTGACTGCCAGGAGGTCCCGGGCTGCACTCTGGGAAGGGCCATCCTAATGAGGTATGGGCAGCCTCCCCTGCTCACTCTGGTTCAGGATGCTTGCAAGGGAGCAGACATTCAACTGGGCTATTTATTGATACAGGTTTTGAAGCTCACATTGCCTTCCTCTCCCGGCAGGTCACACTGCTGTCCGGGTCCTGGTCGTCTTTCATCCCAAGGGGGCTGCATGTCTCAAAATGAGACCCCAAGTCTTGAAAGAGGAAGGACTAAGATCTGGATGTCTCCGTAGGAGGTAGCAAGCTTTTGACTTAGTTTATGAATATTTCTTCAGTGTCTACTCTACACCAGACATTGCTTCAGGGATTAGCACAGATCGAAGAACAAATAAGGCAACATTTTTGAATGTTAAAACCTAGTTTTAATTGTAAACTGTATTTACATATCTGAAGAACACTTGTTGATTTTCTTCTTTTTGGAAGATGAGTGAAAGAGATTGTTTGATTCGACATCTGGAAAGAATGTTTTGATTTTTAGTCTCCATTATTATGATTTATTAGAAACATTAGAATAATAACTTAATACAAACACAAACTAAAAGCCTTATCTACCTTTTGTATTATAATCTCATTTCTCCCTTGAGAAAAGGTTGAACAGTTTTTAAAAAACAATGTTAATAAGATGGTAGCTAAATAAATAAGTTAGAGAAAGAAAATATCAGGGATGATAAGCTAGGAGAGATGGAGGTTCTAAGAAATGCAGGCTTTTCTAGGCCATCGGTGGGAGGAAGGGGATGTCCTCAGGCAGTCAAGTCCAGGAATTATGAATCTCATTATTAAACAAAACGCAATAATTTCCAAAATTTGGACTGTGAACACTTCTAGCAAGAATTTTTGAGAATTTGCTCTCTCTGCATATATCAATTATAAATCATGTACTATCATAAAACATATACATAAAGGAAATTTAAAAAATAAATTAAAAATAATAGTTTAATGTTAAAGTATATATGTTAAGAGTATAAAATTATTAAAAATACAATAGTGTAGTGAGAGCAACGCTTCATTAATTTTGAAGATTTTGGCTTAAGGTTTAAAGTACAGCAATTCAAATGTCTGTTTTTAAGTTCAGTTTACTTTACTATTTGGTTTGAAAGGCTATCATAACTAAATTAAAAAAAACCTGCACACAGATATTTAACTCCAAATAGGAGAAATGCATCATGAACTATGCTTAATTAAGTTATAATATTTGTTTTTCAGATCTAGCCTATGTTTTTCAAACTTTTATGCCAAGATTTTGTAGAACTTGCTACCACACCTCCACCTTCATTTATGTCAATCAGTTGTATCAGCAAAGTAAAAGGAAAATGTGTCTTCTCCTTTTTAAAAAAAATCCCTAGACATTTTTCTGGGGAGAGGAGGGGGAATTTTGAGTGAATCAGAGGATTCTAAGCTTCTGAAGTATGCAGCTAGAAGATTTAGTTAGAGATAATTTATTTACATCGTTTTTAACTACAAAGTTCACATAAAGGAAACACAATCATTTCTTTCTTTCAAAATATTTGCAAACATCTTTTTCCAAAAAGCAGCACATTCTATCAGTTTGTTAATTTAAAACTATATCAGCTAACATGCATTTGTCAGCAAATAGCAGGCAACTTGATGAAAAATGGCTTAGGTCATGATGGTATTGAAAAAAGAATGTAATAAAAAAGCCTTAAAGATGGAATAGAAGATCTGTGATGTCATCGAGGATGTAGTTTCTTTTTTTCTCTCTGCCATTCTCGGCATGCTTATTTTTCTCCTCATGTTCATACCTCATGTTTGCAAAATGACTGCTGTGGATCCAGTTGTCCTGTACTCACTCCCATGAGCATCCTGAACAGATAGGAATAAGGTAAGGGGAGAAACGTGTCTATCTTCTCTGTTATTTGCCCTTTATTATGGAAATTAATGGCTCCCTTTTAATTGGCTGAAACAGCTGTTAATGGGAGAAGGAGGCAGGCTTCTTCCCTGTTTAATATGCCTGCTTATTTGTATTAGTACAAACCTGAAGCTCTTTTTCTTGAAGCTTTCAAGCCACTTGTCCACTTTGTGAAGGTTAGCTGGCAAATGCTAGATAATGTCATGTGGATTCCTTTTGACAAGATTTGCAGCCTCTGCATGCAGAAGTCCCAGTGTGCCCTCAGGCTGGCTCTTGTGCTACTTGTGTCTTGGGACCATCTGATGGGAGCTCACTGGTGTCACTCCGGGCATCAAATACCAGGGAGGTTGACGTCTTTTCTTATCTATGGGAAGAGATATCTACTTCTCTTCCAAAAATTGTTTTTTGCAGCCCAGGGGAATAGACATCCCATTTTGGGGGCCCTTAGGCTAAACAACTTATTTCATAGTTCACACACAAAAAAACCTCAAAAATGTCTTTTTACTATTGACCTTTAGTGGGTTAACTCTTGGAGCCCCATAAACCCTTCCCATAACACACAGCCCGCATCTCTACTTGCTTGCTAATGTCATCAGCTAAACTCTTCCGCAAAATAACTAAAACAGGAATGAACTCATTTCTTTCCTCCAAAGCTTTCTGAGAGCTACCAGAAGAAATGACTCTTACGCAATATAAAATAATGTTGTCATCCAAAAGCATAATCTTCAGACAAGTATATAGAGACAATATATGTAAAACCATGCTCCTTATCTTGGCTAAAGTAAACTAATCCAGTAAGATAGAAGATCAAGGATTTTAGCTTAACTTTCTTTTTGGTTGAAGTACTTGTATTTAAATGCTAACTGACGTCTTTCCTTGTTGGGTCTCAGTCTGTTACTAAAGTAAAACTTTAGGAAGTAAGTATAATATATTGGACGGGGGAAGGCTAACGTGAGGCAGTTCCGGGGTATTTTCTCAGCCTCAAAGGACTTCCATTTTGAGCTTACAGAAAACCAGAAATGAGACCTTAGGCCTCAAGGTGAAAGTTGAATTTCTATTTCCTAGAGGTAAATGATAGTTGGTTTGCTCTTTCTTTTAGACCTTGAGGATATTATATTCCTTCTCCATGTGAACATTCTGGACCTTTCTTTATTTTTCTTTTTAAGCATTAGACTTAACACGACTTAAATCTTAGAAAATATGTCAATGCATTTCGGTGCCTGGGCACACAATTAATCTTCATCTATCTCTGGTAATATAAACACACCTGTGGGATGTTTTCCATTGAATACATGAAAAGAAAACTCATAATAAATCTCAGACTGATAGCTTTATCATGACTGACAGTGCTGCTGGAGGCTCCTTCTTTATGAGTATAATTTGGGAGTATATAAAAGCAGGAGATTGATTTCTACAGAAACTTGCCTTTTCTTTAGTATTTATTCCAAGCTGTGTGACTCTTCCTCTTTTTTAATAAAAAAGCCCCACAACATGCAGTTCCTATATTTAATTTATATAACGGAATGTACACATGCACACACTCACACTCACACACATGCATTATTATTTAATGCCTGGAAGACACAAAATGCTGAATGAGAAGTGTGTATGTGATTTCCTCCTGCACTTCTCAGGCAAGAGTGTCCTCTTTAGAACTTGCTGCTTTAGTGAGGCAAGAGAGAATAATTTGATCCCTTTACTAGAATGGGTGCTTCTAGGATATCCAAGTAGTAGATTTACTGTCACTATTAGAGTTAAATTATACTTACTGTTAGTAAAGTGTTAATCAAATCTCTCAAATCAGATACTCATATTTTGTAGTAGAAACTTTTAAATCCTTCTAGCATGTTCTGGAGCCATGCCTTGGAGGTCTGGGATGTGGGTGGAAAATCCCATGTGGGAAGGCTAAGTGGAAGAGGCTCAAGCCCTACACCCTCTCTTTCATTCCTACACCTTTGCTTTTATCTGTTTCATACTTCGGTGCTCTGTGCATGATGTCTAAAACCATGCTAGTCAAATTAGTTTATACTGGTCTATGGTATATAAGAGTAAATAAAATTTCCAGAGAACCAGAGAATACTTCTTTTTCACTTTAAAGATCTTTAAATAAAGATCATACATTGTTTTCAGAATTGACTAATTCTGTGTTGCTGAATTCAGTGCTCATATCTTTGGACACATAAGGGTAGACATATTATACAGTAAGCAGTTCTCTCGTTCCCCATTTTGAATTTGGTGAAATTTCCTCAGTATTAGAGAGAACAATGTTTTATTTAGGAGGACCTGGGAAGATAAAAATTTGAATGATAAAGATTAACTTTTAAAAAACTTTTCAGGCTGGGCGCAGTGGTTCATGCCTGTAGTCCCAGCACTTTGGGAGGCCAAGGAGGGCAGATCGCCTGAGGTCAGGAGTTTGAGACCAGCCTGGCCAACATGACTAAACCTCATCTCTACTAAAAATAGAAAAATCAGCCCGGTGTGTTGGCGGGACCTGTAATCCCAGCTACTCAGTAGGCTGAGGCAGGAGAATCACTTGAACCTGGCAGGCAGAGGTTGCAGTCAGCTGAGATTGCACCATTGCACTCCAGTCTGAGCAACAGAATGAGATTCTGTCTCAAATAAATAAATAAATAAATAAATAAATAAATAAATAAATACATACATACATACATACATACTTTTCAGTGTGATATAATTTCAGACGTAGACTTAAAGAAAAGTTGCAGAAAATAATATGCATGTTTCCCACATACCTTTCAACTAACTGCTCCTAATGAGGACAGCTTCCCCCACCACAGTACATTTATTGAAACTGAAGCAATTAGCAGTAATAACTGATTTGAAACGAATCTATGTACCCAATTCAAATTTTGCCAGTTTTTCACTAGTATCTTTTCTTCTTGTCCAAGATCCAATCCGCTATTCCACATTGTGTTAAGTTGTGATGTCTCCTTGGTTTCTTCTACCCCATAATAGTTCCTCAATCTCTGTTTTTTATATAAAGAATAGTTTTAATAGTTAAAGGTTTTCAGTTCATCAACTGTATAGAAATTCTCTATGTTACATGTGGTTGTGTGCTGAAGGATCAAGACTGCCTTTAACCAACTGGTTTGAAAATGGGATTGAATATTTGTCAGATGCTATTCAACAAACATTCTGAAATATGACAAAGCAATAGACAATGGAAGTTATTACCTACATCGATAGAACAGTTGTTAAAATCCTATATTTGACAACTTACAGTCTGTGTAGGTTGGTCAAATTTTAGGCCAGATTCTAATATTCCACCAGCTGAACATAAATCTGCAGAAATATGTAGCTCTAATACTTTGAATTTAACTGGGATTGGTCTTATGTTCAGTGGACAAACAAAACAATAAAGGAACCATTTTAATTTTATGTTAGGATATGTGTCTGTTAGTTTGCAAAAGTGTAGGGAATTACGGGGGAGTAGTTCGCTATGTGTAAATAACTTCTAACTGTATTGTTTTGTAGCCAAATAATGGTATCTGTATAATGTTTAGATTGAAAATTTTCTTCTAACAGAGTATGTGCTCAGTTTTTTGAAGTGTGTAAATTTCAAGTGCACTTGACAATAATTTGTATTCTTTGTTTGGTGGGTGTAGGGCTCCACAACTTTTATTAGGTAAATTGTGTGCAAAATGATATTCAAATATTTGATGTATCAGCATTTAAAATGGTATGCTGCAATCTCCAATATTCATGAGTTTTTCAACTTTAATTTCTCCTTGCAGTACTCTCAATAATTTCTTTATAGGTTTTATAGTTTCTTTGCTAGAATACAAATTTGGGACTCTTCTGTCTTCCTAGTGAATTACTCTTTTTATTATTGTGATAGTTAATTTTTATGTTTCAACTTGGCTGGACTACGGTGCCCAGATATTTGGTCCAACATTATGTTTATATGAAGGTAATTTTGGATGAAACTAACATTAAAGTCAGTGGACTTCAAGTAAAGCAGATTCTCCTGCATAATGTGGTGGGTGGGCCTCATCCAAGCAGTCAAAGGCCTTAAAGAACAAGGACTGATCTTCCCTGCGTGAGAAGGAATTCTGCCAACAGACTGCCTTTGGATTCTGTGATGGTTTATTTTGTGTGTTAACTTGACTGAGCCACAAGGTGGCCAGATACTTGGTCAAACATTATTTGGGGAGTTTCCATGAGGGTGTTTTTGGATGATAGTAACACTTCAATTAGTAGATTGAGTAAAGCATACTTTTACCTTCCACAGCATGGATGGGCCTCCTCTTATCAGTTGAAGGTCCAAATAGAACAAGAAGGCTGAATCTTCCCCAAGTAAGAGCAAATGCTTCTGACTGATGGGATCTTAGAACCGGGACTGCAACTCTTTCTAGTTCTACAGCAGTTTTCAGGCTTCAGACTCAAGCTGGGACATTGGCTGTACAGATTTTGGGTTTGCCAGCCTCCAGAATCATTTGAGCCAATTTCTTACAATAAATCTCTTCAACACACACACACGCACACACACACACACACACACACATGCACACACCCTGTTTCTTTGGAGAACCCTAATATAGACTTGAGCTGCAACTCTTCTCTGAATAATTTGAACTTCCCAAGCCTCCACAATCACATGAGCCTATTTCTCCAAACAAATCTTTTTCTCTTTCTATATATACACATACTGCTGGATCTATTTCCCTTGAGAACCCTGATTTAATATAGTTATGATGTTGTGCCCTATTTATTCCTAATAATGATTTTTGCCCTAATGTCAGTTTTGCCTGACATTAATGGTGCTGCACCAGCTTTGCCTTTGGTACTTTGTTTTCTCCATCCTTTTAGTCAATCTTTTTGGTTATATTGAATGATGTTTCTGTAAAGCTGTTAGAGCTGGATTGTGCTAATTATCCAGGCTGAAAAATCTGAGTCTTTTAACATGTGAATTTAATCTACTTACATTTATATATGTTAAACTTATATACATATATGTATTTACACACAGACACAGAAACACACTCTTATAGTTTAATACCTTCACAGCAACATTTACAGATGAGAAAACAGTGGTAGAGAAGGATTAAATAACTTGACTGAGGTTGTATAACTAATAAAGACCTTTCCAGAAGCTGTATTCTTAACCTCATCATACTAATTCTCAAGTTAAATATTATATTTCTAATTCTTTAATGATTAGCATTATATTTATACAAAGTTTCTTGATGTAATGAAGTCCAATCAGTATCTATGCATTCTTTCTGAAGAGTAGAAGGGTCTTTAAAAGACCTTTTTCACTAGTCTTTTCTTCTTTTTTCTCCCCAGATTATTGTTGTTTACTAATTTTATACCATTTTAACCACCACCTTACAAAGTCACTATTATTTTTTACAGAAGTACTTATTTAGATATGCTCGTTATTTTACTTATCATTTCTTTTTGCATTCTATTTTTTTTTTTTTGAGTTCAGTTTACTTGAGGTATGTACTTCAATCCTGGTAGTAAGTTCTAATTAGTGTCCGTAAATGGCAAAATCTTTTGTCGGTTGTTTGTCTGCAAATGACCTTATTTTTGCTTCAATTCTCACAATTATTTGAAAGGATATAGATCTTTGTATTATCACTACCCATCAGTAATTTAAATGTTTTGGCAGCTAATAGGCTGATAAGAAACTTCCTCTCAGCAATTGTATTGTTGTATAAGTAATCTTTCCAGAAGGCCTGTTTGATGGCTATCTATGTTGCTTAATCTTTTTTTTCCAGCTTTATTGAGGTGTAATTGACAAATAACAATCTACATATACTTAAAACATACAGCATGAGATTTTGATATACATATGCCTTGTGTAATGATTCCCATAATCAAGCTAATTAACATACCTAAGACTACATATTCCACATGTTGTATGTGGTGACAACAATTAATATCTACTCTCTTAGAAAATGTTCAATATACCATATACCATACATTATTATGAACCATAGCCACTATGATGTACATTAAATCCTTATGACTTATTTTCTTTATAAGAGAAAGTTTGTACATTTTTGCCAACATCTCTTAATTTTCCCAACCCTTCATCCCCTAGAAAGCACTATTCTAGCCTCTGTTTCTCTAAGTTCAACCTTTTTGAGATTCTACATATAAGTGTTATCACTGAATATTTTGTCTTTCTGTTCTGGTTTATTTCATTTAGTATAACGTCCTCCAGGTCCATCCATGTTGCTGCAGATGTCAAGATTTCTTTCTTTTTTAAGGATGAATAATATTTCATTATGTGGATATGTTTGTGTGTATGTGTCTTGCGTTCCGTTGTATGGGTATGTGTCTATGTATGTTTATGTGTATTCAGCCTTTTTAAAGGCTAAGTAATATTCCATTGTATGTGTACGTGTGTGTATGTGTATGTGTATATAAATTTCTTTTTTCACTCATCTTTTCACAGATGCTTACATTATTTTCATATCTTGGCTACTGTGAATAATACTGTAATAAATATGGGAGTGCAGATAACTCTTAGAGATAATAACTTTATTTCCTTCAAATATATAGCAGTAGTGACTTGACCGCTATATACTCTAGGCATGTAACAAAATTGCACATGTACCCCATATATTTGTACAAATAAAAAATAAAAATTATGAATTTAAAAAAGTAAAATTACTGGATCACAAGGTAGTTCTATTTTTTATTTTTTTGAGAAACCTCCATATTGTTTTCCATAATGACTGTACCAATTTACATTTGCATCATTCCCTTTTATTCCACATTCTTATCAACACTTGTTGTGTCTTGTTATTTGATATAGGTTTCTAACAAATGTGATGAGATAGTGTATTGTGGTTTTGATTTGCATTTCTCTCATGATTAGGAGTATTTAGTGCCTTTTTATATACATGTTGGTAATTTATATAACTTCTTTGGAGAAATGTCTAGTGAGTTGCCTTGCCTATTTTGTAATTAGGTTACTTTATTGTTATTGAGTTGTATGACTTTCTTGTATATTTTGAATATTAACCCTTATCAATATATGGCTTGCAGATATTTTCTCTCATTCTGTAGTTTGCCATTTCATTTTTTTGATTGTTTCTTTGCTGTATAGAAACATTATAGTTTGATGTAGTCTCACTTGCTTATTTTTGTCTGATATTATACCAAAAATCATACCAAGGTGAATGTCTAGGAGCTTATATTCGTCTATATTTGCTTCTAAAGTTTTACAGCTTCAGGTCTTTCATTTTGAGTTTTTTTTAATATCATGTAAGCTAAGGATCCAGTTTTATTCTTTTACATGTGTATGCCCAATTGTCCCAATATCATTTATTTAAGAGATTATCCATTCCTCATGGTGTATTATTGGCCCTATTCTTGCCACTTTTGTCAAAGATTAGTTGACTGTATATATGTGGGTTTATTTCTGAACTGTCTTTATTCTGTTCCATCCATCTATGGGTACATTTTTACATCAAGAACCATAACCATACTGTTTTGATTGCTATACCTTCTTAATGTTTGAAATTAGGAACTGTAATGCCTCCAGCTTTGTTCTTTCTTAAGAGTGCTCTGATCTCCAGGTTCTTCTGCGGTTTGATGCAGAGTTTTAGATTGATTTTTCCATTTCAGTGAAAAATCCCATTGAAATTTTGGTAGGAATTTTGTTAAATCTACAGATTGTTTTAGGTATTATAGATATTTTAACAATATTAACCTTTCCAGTCCATGAATATGGTATATCTTTTCATTTTTTTGTGTCCTTTTCAATTTCCTTCCTCTGTGTCCTATAGTTTTCAGTGTCTGTACAATCAAAACTTTGAGTTTCACCTCGTTGGTTAAATTTATTCCCAAGTGTTTTATTATTCTTGATGCTATTGTAAGTGGGATTGTTTTCATAATTTCATTTTCATATAGTTTGTTGTAACTACATGGAAAATGCACCTGAGTTTTGTATGCTAATTTTGTATCTTGCAACTGTACTGAATTTGTTTATTAGTTCTAACAGTTTTTTTGATGATGTCTTTAGGATTTCCTTACCTATGTCTTCTGCAAACTGAAAAAATTTTAGTTTTTTCTGGTGGGGATTTCTTCTTCTTTTTTTAAATGCGTAATTGCTTTGGCTGACTTCCAGCACTATGTTGAACAGAAGTGGGAAGAAGCAACATCCTTGTCTTGTTCCTGATCTTAGAGGAAAAACTTTTAGCTTTTTCACTGTTGACTGTGATGTTAGCACTGAGTTTGTCATATGTGGCTTTTGTTATTTTGAGGGGTATTTCCTCTATACCTAATTTGTTGAGATTACTTATTATGACATGATGTTGGACTTTGTTAAATGCCTTCTCTGCATCTGTTGAGATGATCATCTAATTTTTATTCTTCATACTTTTAATGTGATGTATCAAGTTTATTGACTTGTATATGTTGAATGATCCTTACCTCCCTGAGATAAATACTATTTGATAACAGTAAACAATCTTTTTAATGTGCTGTTGAATTCAGTATTCTGATATTTTGTGGAAGATTTTGCATCTATGTTCATCAGGCATATCAACCTGTAATATTCTTTTCCTGTAGTGTCCTTGACTGACATTGATACCAGTGTAATGCTGGCTTCATCATATAAATTTGGAAGTGATTCTTCCACTTCAATTTTTGGGAAGAGTTTGAGGAGCATTAGTGTTACTTATTTATCAATTTTGGTAGAATTCACCACTGAAGCCATCTGGTTCTGGGCTTTTATTTGTTAAGAGGTTTTTGATAATTGATTCAATCTCCTTACTCACAGTTGGTTTGTTCACATTTTTTCTTTCTTCCTATTCGATTTGGTAAGTTGTATGTTTTTAGGAACATATCTATTTCTTCTACATTATCCAATTTGCTGGCATATAATTGTTTATAGTAGTCTCTTATGATCTTTTGTATTTCTGTGGTTTAAGTTGTAATGTCTCCTCTTTCATTTATACATTTATTTATTTGAATCAATTTTCTTAAATTTGTTAAGACTTCTTTTGTGATCCAACATATAATCTATCCTGGTGGTATGGTCTGAATGTTTGTGTCCTCTCCTCCAAGATTTATATGTTAAAGCTAAACTCCCAAAGTGATGTTGTTAAGAAGTAGAGCCTTTGGGAAGTTATAAGGTCATGAGAACTCTGCCCTTATGAAAAAGGATTAGTGCTCTAACAAAAGAGGCTTGAGGGAGCTTGTTTATCCCTCTTCATGTGAGGCCATATAGAAGGCCCCGTCTATGAGGAACAGCCCCTCACTGGAAAATAAATCTACTGGTGCCTTGATCTTGGACTTCTCAGCCTCTAGAACTGTGAGAAAAAAATTCAAAATAATGAGGGCTATTTATGACAAACGCTCAGCCAATATCATACTGAATGGGCAAAAGCTGGAAGCATTCCCTTTGAAAACTGGCACAAAACAAGGATGCCCTCTCTCACCACTCCCATTCAACATAGTATTGGAAGTTCTGGCCAGGACAATTAGGCAAGAGAAAGAAATACATGGTATTCAAATAGGAGCAGAGGAAGTCAAATTGTCTCTGTTTGTGGATGACATGATTTTATATTTAGAAAACCCCATCATCTCAGCCCCAAATCTCCTTAAGCTGATAAGCAACTTCAGCAAAGTCTCAGGATAAAAAAATCAATGTGCAAAAATCACAAGCATTCTTATACACCAATAATAGAAAAAAAAAAAAGAGCCAAATCATGAGCGAACTCCCATTCACAATTGCTACTAAGAGAATAAAATACCTACAAATACAACTTACAAGGGATGTGAAAGAGAACTACACACTACTGTTCAAGGAAATAAGAGAAGACACAAACAAATGGAAAAACATTCCATGCTTAAGGATAGGAATAATCAATATCATAAAAATTGCCATCCTACCCAAAGTAGTTTATAGATTCAATGCTATCCCTATCAAGCTACCATTGACTTTCTTCACAGAATTAGAAAAAACTACTTTAAATTTCATATGTAAACAAAAAAGAGCCTGTATAGGCAAGACAATCCTAAGCAAAAAGAACGAAGCTGGAGGCATCACACTACCTGGCTTCAAACTATACTACAAGGCCACAGTAACCAAAATAGCAAGGTACTGGTACCAAAACAGACATATAGACCAATGGAACAGAACAGAGGCCTCAGAAATAACATCACACATGTATAACCATCTAATCTTTGACAAACATGACAAAAACAAGCAATGGGGAAAGGATTCCCTATTTAATAAATGGTGTTGGGAAAACTGGCTATCCATATGCAGAAAACTGAAACTGGACCCCTTTCTTACACCTTATACAAAAATTAACTCAAGATGGATTAAAGACTTAAATATAAGACCTGAAACCATAAAAATTCTAGAAGAAAACCTAGGCAATACAATGCAAGACAAAGGCATGGGCAAGGATTTCATGACTAAAACACCAAAAGCAATGGCAACAAAAGCCAAAATTGACAAATGGGATCTAATTAAACTAAAGAGCTTCTGCACAGCAACAGAAACTATCATCAAAGTGAATAGGCAACCTACAGAATGGGAGAAAATTTTTGCAATCTATCTGTCTGACAAAGGGCTAATATCCAGACTCTACAAAGAACTTAAACAAATTTACAAGAAAAAACAAACAACCCCATCAAAAAGTGGGCAAAGGGTATGAACAGACACTTCTTAAAAGAAGACATTTATGTGGCCAACAAACATGAAAAAAGGCTCATCATCCCTGGTCATTAGAGAAATGCAAGTCAAAACCACAATGAGATACCAACTCATGCCAGTTAGAATGGTGATCATTAAAAAGTCAGGAGACAACAGATGCTGGAGAGAATGTGGAGAAATAGGAAAGCTTTTACACTGTTGGTGGGAGTGTAAATTAGTTCAACCATTGTGGAAGATAGTGTGGCAATTCCTCAAGGATCTAAAACCAGAAATACCATTTGATCCAGCAATCCCATTACTGGGTATATACCCAAAGGATTATAAATCATTCTACTTTAAAGACACATGCACATGTATGCTTATTGCAGCACTGTTCACAATAGCAAAGACTCGGAACCAACCCAAATGCCCATCAAAGATAGACTGGATAAAGAAAATATGGCACATATACACCATGGAATACTATGCAACCATAAAAAAGGATAAAGTTTGTGTCCTTTGCAGGGACAGGGATGAAGCTAGACACCATCATTCTCAGCAAACTAACACAGGAACAGAAAACCAAACACCACATGTTCTCACTCGTAAGTGGGAGTCGAACAATGAGAACACATGGACACAGGGAGGGGAACATCACACAATGGGGACTGTCAGGGGTTGGAAGGCTAAGGGAGGTACAGCATTAGGAAAAATACCTAATGTAGATGATGGGTTGATGGGTGCAGCAAACCACCTTGGCAAGCGTATATCTATGTAACAAACCTGCATGTTCTGCACGTGTATCCCAGAACTTAAATTATAAAAAATAAATAAAATAAAATAAAATAAAATAAAGGATCTCTTTTGGGTATCAAATATGATGGTTATCAACTAATCCTTAGTATATAGTTTGCACTTAACAAATATTTGTTGACTGAATGGAAAAAAATCTGTTATTTATAAAGTACTCAGGCTAAGATATTTTGTATAGCAGCCTGAATGAAGTAAGACATCTGCATAATTTTCTGTGTGCATTTGAGAATAATATGTATTCTGCTACTGTTGGATAGAAAGTTTCACACATGTATATAAGATCCATTTGACATAAAGAGTAGTTCATGTCCACTGTTTCTATATTGATTTTTTTGTCTGGATATTCCATTCATTTTGAAAGTGGGGTATTGAAGTCTCTTACTATTAATGTATTGCTATCTATTCATTCTCTTAATTCTGCTTATATTTGGTTTATATATTCATGTGTTCTGATATTGAGTACATATTTATTTACAATTGTTATGTCTTCTTAATGAATTGAGTCCTTTATAATAATTATATAATAACCTTCTTTGTCTTTTGTTACAGTTCTGGACGTAAAGTCTATTTCTTCTGATGTATGTATAGCAACTCCTTTTCTATTTTGGTTTACATTTGCATAAAATATATTTCTCATCCCTTCACTTTCCTATTAGTGTTCTTGAAGTTTAAGTTAGTCTCTTGTAGGCAGCATGGAGTCTTTGGGTTTTGTTTTTTGTTTATTTTTCAATTCATTCAGCCACTCTATGTCTTCTAACAGAAGACTTTAATCCATTTATATTTAATGTAATTGTTGCTATGTAGGACTTACTATTGGCATCTTGCTAATTGTTTTCTGATTGTTTTAGTTCTTTGTTCCTTTATTTCTCTTCTGCCGTCTTCCTTTGTTAATTGATTTTTTGTGGTAGTACACTTTGATTATTTTCTCTATGTTTTGTGTATCCACTATAGGTTTTTGGTTTTTCATTACCATGAAACTTACATAAAGCATATTATAAAGTGGATTTTAAGCAGAGAGCAACTTAACATTTTACATTTTGAAATATTGTGTCTACAGTTACAAATTATTGTAGTTATAGGTGTTTTTAATACTTGCAACCTTTGGAGTACAGTTAAAAGTAAATTACACAACACCATTGCAGCATTAGAATATACTGAATTTTACTAAATATTTACCTTTACTTACCTTTCACTATTACCTTTACAAGTGAAATTTACATATATATAATATCATGTATTATTCATGGAATACATATATGTATATTAATGCTATTAATTACCATCCTCTTATTTCAGCATGGAGAACTCCTTTTAGCATTTCTTCCAAGGCAGGTCTAGTAGTAATGAACAACCTCATCTTTCATTTTTCTGGGCAAGTCTTTCATCTCTTCTTTATTTCCAAAGGACTACTTTGCTGAATAAAGTATTCTTGACTGGCAGTTTTATTCTTGCAGCACTTTAAGTATATCATCTCACTTTCTCCTGGCCTGTAAGGTGTTTCCTGAGAAATTTGTTGATTGCCTTATAGATGTTCCTTCGTATGTGACAAGTTGCTTTTCTCTTGCTGCTTTAAAATTATCTCTTTGTCTTTGTTGCCAGTTTAATTACAATATATCCCAATAAAATCCTCTTTGGATTGAATCTGTTTTGGCACTTTTGAGATTTATGATTCTAGGTATCCATATTGCTCCTAAAACTTGTGAGGTTTTCAGCTCTTATTACTTTAAATACACTTTTTGATATTTTTTCTTTTATTTCTGGAACCCCCATATGTATATTTATTCACTTAATGGTGACCTGTAAGTCTGGTAGGCTTTCTTCACTATTTTTGATCCTTTTTATTATCCTCTGTCTTAATAATTTCAAAAGATCAGTCTTCAAGTTTGCAGATTCTTTCTTTTTCCTAATCAAGTATGCTGTTTTATTTTGTTCATTGCATTCTTCAGCTACAGAATTTCTGTTTGGATTTGTTTGAAGATTTCTTTCTCTTTGTTGAACTTTTTAATTTGTTTCATTTAATCCTTTCCTGTGTTATTGAGCTGTATATCTGTCTAGGGTAAAGTGCTATGATGCTCTGATCCTTGAGGGCAATGCTCAGCAGAGACATGGGAACCTGAGGGCAGGGCACAGTGCCGCAGTAGCTCCTGCCCCTGAGAAGGGGACACAGTGGTGACTCCTTATCTAGGGAGAGCACTGCATCATGGATTCCAGGCAACTCTGTCTGCTGAGATCAGCATGATGAAGACACTGGGGTGTCCTCGTTTTCTAGAGCTCCAGTTGTCCATGGCAGAGAGGAGAATTCCTGAGGTCCCTTTCCTCTCCTATTCCCTGCAGGGAGAAATCCCTCTGTGGGGGATCCCTCTTGGTTTTGAGCTGCTCTGGAATGGGTGATGGGGTGACAGAGGTAAAATGTTTCCCAACTTTTCTGTGTGTCCATCCTCATTTCCTGTGCTCCACAGGGTTTCTGTTGCTCCTCATTAAAGTCCAGAAATTCCCCAGATCTATTTTCATTGATATGTGGTTGTTTATTTATTGTTTTTGTGAGGGAACAAGCATTGGGGTCTTCTATTCCATCATCTTGCTGATTTCGCACCTCTATTTTTTGCTAATCAATTTTTAAGAGTAGATACAGAAAAGTTGCCAAGATAATACAGAGTTTCTCTTCCCTTGATTGTTAACATCTTAAATTAACTATGACACATTATTGAAACTAGAAACCAATGTTGGTACATTCATATTTAAAAAAAACCACGCTTCCACTAGTTTTTTTTTCCCCCAATTTCTTTTTTTTTTTTTTTTCCTGTTCAGGATTCCATCCAGAATACCATGTTACATTTAATCACTGTGTCTCTTTAGGCTCCTCTTAGCTGTGACAGTTTCTTGTACTTTCTTTGTTTTTGCAACCTTGATAGTTTTGAGTACTGGTGAGGTATTTTGTAGCCTGTCCCTCAATTGTAATTTGTTTTATGTTTTTCTCATGATAAGACTGGGATTATGGAAGGTGTAATGGCATTTCCACCCCATAATATCAAGAGAACATGCTATCAACATCAGTTGTTATTAACGATGTTAACCTTGATCCCTTAGCCAAGGCAGTGCTTGTCAAGATTTTCTCTACTGTAAAGTTGACTTTCTCCTTTGTCATACTATTCTTGGGCAGCAAATCACTAACTTCAGCCCACACTCAAAGGTCAGGTTGTGGAGGGCGGGGGTGGGAATAAAGCTCCTGCCGATTTTTAAAATATCATTGTATTTTTTATTATGTTGTCCATTTTTGTAAAATTTTCTGCAACCATCTTAAACCTAAACATTTTCTTATATTCATTCATAAGGCTGTATTATTTCTGTTTCTTGAGGGGTCCTAATGTTCCTGTGAATTAAATCTGCTGGCTCTCCCTCATGCTGCTTCATTTCCTCAAGTGGTTTGTCATTAGTTTATGTCCAAAGGAGTTGTTTGTTTTGTGATCATCCTGTATTCTTCCACGTTTTTGTTTTGGTTTAGTTTGGCTTTTTGCTCATGCCGGACCCCTAAGTGTTTCAGTCGTCCGGACCCAATATTTATATTAATTTCTTGGTTCTGATTTCCCTCTATGGATTCTCAAAGCCAAACACCACATCTGAGAGCTTTGATTTCTCCCAGACGGCTTTTCCTGTCCATTCTAGAATCTGGCTAGCTGGCAAGCTTCCTTGCTGCTTCCCAGTGCCAACAGGTGAACCCATCTTACTCATACCCATCTCACCCACCCGACGCCCTCTGAGGTCCTGTGCTCTGCACTGAAGAATGCAGCCCCAGTCCTGCCCAGCTGAGGCTGAGGCAGCATCTTCTATGTAACCAGAGGCCAGGTGTTGTGTGGAGTCTTCTCTGCTTTCCACAGAGCCTTTGGCTCTTCTCTTAGTTTCTGAAACCTGTGGATTTTCCTATCTTTCAAATGCAGCAGAGTTTTAAATGATGCTTTCTATTTTACCTAGTATTTTTATGTGTTTGGAGTTAACCACTCTATGCCATTTGTATCTACCATTTTACCAAAGTCTCCTTTAATTCTTCTAGTAACACAACATTTCTTATATTGATACCACATATTCATTAAAGGAAAGGGAAATTTTGATCAAGGAATGTTATTCACACTCAGAGTTGCTGTCAGTCTTCTGAATAGCAATGTTTATAATTAAAAAATATTTCTAGTAGTTCTTCAGGATAAACGCAACCTTAACTTTTGAAATTAATTGTCGAATATTTATTGAGGATCTACTATGCATAAGGAATTTTGTGATGAGTCAATGATTAAGACATAGTCCTTGCTTAAGGAGTTAAACTGTAAAAATGGAGAACTATTTTAAAAAGTGGAATGTTACAAGTGATATAAAATAGTTACAAACGTGCTGCAAGAGGCCATAGAAGGATGAGCCAATTTCCAGCCAGAAAGACCTCAAAAGTACCATGCGGGAAGACAATGAGCTGGGCTTAGCAAATAGGTGTCATTTGGAGATGCAACAATTGCTTGTTGGCAGGTGTCAGATTATACCTGGATTCAAATAGCAGGGAATGAGAACATTAAACTACCTGGATTTGTGGTGCACACACAGGGTACCAAATAAAAGCTACTCAAAGCATGGTGCAAGGATGGGTCGTCAGTTTGTTCAAAGAGCAAAGTGTTTAAAGTGATTTCTAGAAAATGGAATGAGAAGGTCTTGGAGAAAAGCAATTGTTAAGAACAAGGTAGATTTAATTAGAAAAAACTTTTTGACAAAACAATAAATCAAAAATAAATACACAAACCAAGTTGTCAGCAGTCTCACCCAGCCCAGGTCCTCACCCTTGGCAAAGAGTCCCCATAAATAGGGTGCGAGCACCCAGTGGAGGGGCTACTCCTGCTGAGAGGAAGCTGAGCTGCACACCAGAAGTTTCTGTCCACAGACAGTGGAAGAGAAAGAAGACCAGGAAGCAAGAGCCCGAGTGCTTGTCATTCCACTTCCCCTGCATAGTCGCTAGGGAGAAAGCACTGCAGTGCTCTAAACCAAACATTTAAAAACATATTAACTTATTAATAACAATAACTAATATTAATAAGCATGTATATAGCCCTCTTTGTCTTCAAAGCACTTTATGAACATTAGCTAATCAATTAACAATGGCCTCTTTCTGATACTAATCTTCAGTCTGAACACAGAGACCCCTGGGGACATCAGGGGGGATGCTGGCCTAGTCCTGAGGTGGCTGCGGTCATCAGAGGCAGGGCCTGGGCCTCCTGGCCTCCAGGTGGCACACTGTCCAATTGCAATAGTTCTGCTTCCTACAGCAAATCTCAGAAAAACGCCTGTGTATTTCTTTCCTCTCTTCTTTTTTTTTTTTTTTTTTTTAATGTTCCCTTATGACTTTTGGGTAGAGAAAACCAGACTCATTTTCCCTCTGGGGTTCTATTTGTTCTTTCTGTGTTATTGTTTCTGATATAAGCAAATAAACCAACAAGACTCCAACGTATTTCTTTGTTACTCCTTTTATTTACTGTTGACGGAGAGACTTAATTAGATTGCTGTCTTTCCTCTAGGACTCCGTGTCCATGGGGCGTGGACCAGAAGCTGTGCAGACTGCCGTGTCTAGGGAGGGACTCGATCCACTAGAGGGACGTCAAATTTACCAGGGGTAGCGAGAGCCCTTTGGATGTGTCTGCTTAAGGATGTAGAATTTACACGGATCCCCTGACCCCAAGTGCATCTGCAGTGCATGGGGACATGAGCCTCCCCTGCTGGGGTGTATGCCTGGTCCCTTTGGGATTCCCTGGGTTTCACAGTGCCTGGTGCAGAGTGCTGCTCAGGAACATTTGGATTTCCCTGGGTGCTTGAGAATGTTTGCATTTATTTTGCAATGATCTTAGAGCAGAGTGCTGAAATAAGATCCTCAAGAAATCTCACCACTCTGCTCAGTCCCTTCAAGGCTTTTGAAGCTGCCTTCCGGCGAGTCACAGTGGAGCTGCTGTGGGGGTTCCTGCCCTGCTTCACGATGGGCTTCTAGTTCTGGTGGGCATTGCTGGTCTGTCATGCAGGGAAGGGAATGGAGCCCTGGGCTGTGCAGCCACATCTGGCCTGATGCTTAAGGCTGATCACACACTGAACATTGCCATGACAAAGCTGTGTCCCCACCCTTTCCCTGTTGATCTCCCATCAGTCATTAGTAAGTGGTCATGTTAGACAAGGCCTTTGGGCATTTTTCCAATACAAAGTCGCTTAGCATTAGAATTGCAGGATATTTTTTGGCTTCTCTACAAGCCTTTATCCAACCCATTTGAAAACTTACCTTGAATCATGGCAGATTCTGTAGATAGCTATAGCTTTGACCTTTTATCTCCATCTCTACAAGGTATCAGGAACAATTGTGCCATTTAACATAAGCATTTTCTGTTTTAGTAGGTCTCATGGAAATTTACTAAATGAGTAAAATGAGGTAGTATTTTTTGTTGTTTGTTTTTTACAATTTAAGAGTAAAAATGCATTTTTTTTGAGATGGGGTCTCACTCTGTTGCCCAGGCTGAAGTGCAGTGGTGTGATCATGGCTCATGGCTCACTGTACCCCTGACCTCCTACCTCCTAGGCCTTGGGTAATCCTTCCACCTCAGCCTCCCGAGTAGCTGGGACTACAGGTGCATGCCACCACGCCCTGCTAATTGCTATATCTTTTGTAGAGATAGGGCTTCACTATGTTGCCCAGGCTAGTCTTGAACTCCTAAACTCAAGCAGTCTGCCCACCTTGGCCTCCCAAAGTGCTAGGATTACAGGCATGAGCCACCATGCCCAGCCTGCATTTTTATTATTGTTCCAACATTGATGTTTTTACAGTCTAATATAAACAATGTTATCTTCTAGTCTTAATTTACATTTCAGAGGAAAATGTGCCTGAAGAATTAAGTATATGCAATCCTCAAATTTAAGAGATAAGCATTTTGGAAATTTGAAACATGTGAATTGGTGATTTTAATCTAATTCCCAGTTTTTTTTTTCCCAAGAGGAATGAGGACATCCACTAACAACCCTCTGCCCATTAGAGGCAGCAGGCCAGAGAGGAGGAACTCGGGTAGGTGTTTCCTTCCCCAGCCCACCCAGACACTCTGTGCGTATGTGTTTTTAACTATCTTTTCTGATCTGTGTCTCATAAATACATTAGTTGCTGAGATAGTGATCATTTCTTTGGAAAAAAATGCACATCTCATAATGGAAACAGTCTAGTATAAAACCAAAGGTCAGAATCATTGTGACCGATTGTTTCAGAATAAAGTGCAAGTCCCTTAAAGAGAAATGGAAGTTGACAGGAAGAATAAGAGAACACAAGGCATCTTGGGGCTCATTTGCTTGTCTTCTGCACTGACACAGACTTGCAGTTATTCCTGCCACGTTGGAAGGTGCACTCACTGCTCATCACCAGAGAAAGCCACTACGGAAGACAAGCATTTGCAAGTCCATGTTCCATTTGGAATAAGCCCCACATAGAGGCAGATTGCAGGGTCTGGGTCTATTACACCTGGACCACCCAGGGAGACTGAAGGTGTGGAGTTGTATGCAAATGTTTCACTTCGTTCTGCTTTGACTTACATTGCCTTAAATATAGAAAGAAGAGTCTTGAAATCCAACTGAAACTTGCATGATGTTTCAAGAAGAAAAATTATCGTTTCTAGGAACACAGAATAAGTCCGCATTTGGCTTCTTATGTTTTTCTTAATAAAATGATGTAAAAATTTTCCAGAACAGAGTGAAAAAATATAGATTAAATATAAAAGCCTTCAACAGTTAAGGAACACAAAAATTTGTACCCTCTGAATGAATATTTTAATTACATTACATTTCCTTTTAATATCTTTCCATGGGAAACTCCACATGTATTCAGAAATATACTTTAGTTTAATCATGCAGAATATGAGCCAAAATTCTATTGTCTAGTTTTCCAATTGGTTTGCCATTTACCTCAACCCTATAACATTAGTAACTTACACACATACACACACGCACACACTAAATATGTAAATATATGTCTAGATGTCATATATATGCACCTACACACAAATATATGTAAACATTTATAATATGTATCTGCAGATTCATATATATGTATATGTTTGTAATATTTCCGTGACAATTTCAACTTTTATATAACATTATATGTTTGTCTTAGCTCCTAATTCTATTTTAGGTATTTTGAATATAGAGAAAGACACTTCAAATACTTGTAATTTTTCATGATGCCTAAAATAATGACCTACTAATTTTGCAGTTACCAATTTGAGACTCACTCCATAACTCTAAAACGGTAGTTGGCTAATAGGTTTATGAGACACTTAAAATGGCAGTTGGTTAATAGATTAATGAGATTTTTTAAAAAAAATACAAGGATGAAAATGAGTAAGACTGTATCAAAATGTTAGATGTACTAATTTGATTTTATCTGAAAAAGAATCTCTGAAGGATGGAAGAGAAGTGAAGCCCCACAGTGCTCTGAGCAAGTTATATCCCACAGACTAAGTAGTTTTTGGACATTAATGACACCCACCCTTATCCATTAGCCACAGAGTAGGAATAGTGAATCAGATAAAACTTTCTACTTCACCAAGACCAGTCAAATGTACAAAGGAATCAGACTCCCAGGAACATGTTTTGGAGATTTATGTACAAAAGAAAAAATATCCAATTTTCAATTAAGACCAATGAGACTCACACATTTTCTATTTTTTGAGAGCCATATAAAAATGAAAATGCCCAACTTAAATTTGGAAAGTGGACATTTTTGCCCAAGCAACGTTGGGTGTAATGAGAAAATTGTTCCATAATGAACATGTTCAATTCTTAATATGGATAAATGTTCACATTTATTTTAACATTAAGAAATTATATTAGTTTAGTTTAGGGACTTCAGGATTTAAAATCATGTTTTCTTGGCAGTCCCCTGGCACTCACATCCATGAAACACTTATGGAATTCCTGTCTTGGTGGAGTATAGCTCTAGAGAATGTGAGGTGAGAGAATAGAAGTGATGGCCACTGGGTAGAAGTCTTGAAGTGGAGAGTTCAGAAATGGCTCAATTATCAATGACGATGACTCCAGGGTATGACCATGGGGGTTTGCAGCAGAGAAAAGGGGAAGCAAGGGTAATTGGGGATGAGGAAGTTTAAAAAACTGAGAAAACCCGATATTAGGAAGACCATCTATCTACATGGATATTGAGATCACTCAGAATAGTGACAAAAGTAGGGGTGTAGGAGACAGACCCAAAATTATCAATGATGGCAGAAACAAAGCCATTGGTGACTGAGTGGTAGAGAGGTGTTTTGGGTGGTAAACAACCAAAATTTTCAATTTATCAAAGAATAAATATATATGGCCAATAAATGGCCAATAAACATAAATGGCCAAGAAATAAATATAAATATAAATGGCCCTTTTGGTAATGATACATAAGACATTTAAAAATTGATAATATATAGTGTTGGCAATTGCTATGATTTGAATGTGTCTCCCAAAAATCATGTGTTGGAACTTAATCTCGAATGTGATAGTTTCAGAAGGTGGGACCTAGTGGGAGGTGTTTAGATTATGAAGGCTCCACCTTCATAGATGGATTACTGCTGATTTTAAGTGGATTTGAGGCTGTGAGCTCTACTGCTCTCACAAGTGCATGCTGTCTTGCCCTGTCACCTTCTGCCATGGGATGACACAGCAAGAAGGCTCTCACCACATGCAGCCACTTGGTCTTGGACTTCCCAACCTCCAGAACCATGAGCCAAATAAGTTTATTTCCTTTATAAATTACTCAGTCTAAAATATTCAGTTACAGCAGCAGTAACTGGACTAAGTGTAAGAAAATTCAGCATCCCCAAACCCTTCTGGTGAGATTGTAAATTGACACAATTTTTACTAGAACACAGTTTGGAAAAATATTTTAAAAATTGAATTTTAGTTATGATTTGACATAACTATTCTACCTGTATGGATAATATTATTGAAAAAATCATATTTGTGATTATATAAGAAAAGAGTAAATATTCACAGTGTATTGTTAAGTGTGAGGGAAACATTATCACATAACATACATTTTGTGAGAAAATACGTTTTCGTGAAGAAAAAATGAAATATAATGTTAGATAAATGTGAAATCTTTGGTCATAAGATTTTGAGTGATTTTTATTTTCTTTCTTTAACTTGTATTTACTTAAAAATCTATTTGTGTTACGTATTATTATTCCCATTTTATAGACAACTTAGTCCAAGAGATAATAACTAATGTTCCAAGAAAAAACAGCTAATAACTTGTGAAGAGGTAGTTTAAACTCACAAAATTTAGTTTTTCCCAAAAAGAAACAAGGTTTATGTTCACATATCATATATTATGTCAAGTGACAAGAACCAATTATCATAAATATCCCTCCAAAAAAGACAAAAGATATGACAGTTGAAAGATTAGACCATCATTAATTATAGTCATTAGTTTCAAGAAAAGAGGTCTAGGTGCCTCTTTCAAGGAAGCACTGTAAATAAATAAGGTGTTTCTTAGTTTGGTGATATGGGAAGTTGTAGAAGAGCTGACAAATGGGATAATTGTTATGCAAATTTAGCAAACTGAGTAGAACATCTGTAAGCAGAGTGATGTTTAAAATTGTCCATAGCTTATTCTCAAGATAGTCATCATAAGTTATGATGCTGAAGTCATAGACCTGGGTTAGGAGAAGAAAGGTTCCACTTGGGTTGTTGTCTTTCCTGTGTGTTCACCACCACACTTTGTTAAGTTTCTTTCTGGCTCCCACATGTCTTTTGCAAATCACATTGTGTTGCTGACTTCTTATTACCTTAAAGTAAGGGAATCTCTAATTTAAACTGTTTATGAATGACTGCTATCAGCGCTTCCACCATATAAACTTAGATACCTAGAGCTAGCAACTCTCAAGGCTAGGCCAGGGCACCCCATACAGCAGGACTTGATCACCGGTTTTCATACGAAGTCTCTGTCTTCTCTTCTCATTTTGCCCTTTAGTTGCATTGCTATGTTGTTGTCTCTGAGAATTTGAAAACCATCTAGTTTATGTGATAAAACTAATGATTTCTAATGTATAACTGGGAAGGTTTGGAGGCAGAAATTAGCAAACCATGGTCAATAGGCCAAATATAGCCCACTTATTTTCAATTGCTTGTTTTGTATTTTAAATACGGCAAAATTGAATAGTTGGCCCACAAAGCTAAATATACATATTATCTGATGCTCTGCAGAAAACATTTGCCAATGCCAGTTCTAGAGGACTATTCTAAAGCACCATTAGAGAATTTTAAAAATATAATTTCTTTCTCTTTCCCAAACTCAGGTATACTCTGCATGATGATGATGATGATGATGATGATGATTATTATTATTATTATTTTTGAAAAGGAGTCTCACTCTGTCACCCAGGCTGGAGTACAGTGGTGCGATCTCTGCTCACTGCAACCTGTGCCTCCAGGTTTCAAGCGATTCTCCTGCCTCAGCCTCCCAAGTAGCTGGGACTACAGATGTGCACTGCCGCGCCCGGCTAATTTTTGTATTTTTACTAGAGATGGGGTTTCGCCATGTTGGCCAGGCTGGTCTTGAACTCCTGACCTCAGGTGATCCGCCTGCCTCTGCCTCCCAAAGTACTGCAATTACAGGAGTGAGCCACAACACCCAGCCTATTATTTTTATAATTATTATAAGAATGTCCAGTCATCTAATCCATTCCAAGTGAAATCATCTGATTACTTTTATTATATAATTATCTTAATTATATTATTTATCTGCTTAAAAATCTTCAGTGGAAATGTATTAACTTTCTTGTAAAATCATATTACACCTGGAATTCAAGGTTTACTCCATCTGCCTGTTACTTAAAATTTCAGCCGTGACTTCCACTATTCAAGCCAACTTCTGCTATACACAGTTGCCTTAAGATGACTTCTTTGCCTTGCTTATGTTTGGTCCCTGTTGTATTTTAAATCTGCAAACTTTTCAGCATTTCTCTTTTCAAAAGGTGCAGCTTAATTCGCCTCTGGACTTGGAAAATCACTTCTACTGAGTAGAATGTGGTATAAATGATGCTATGTGACTTTCCAGACTCTGCCATAAAAGGAACATTCCAGGCTATGCCATAAAAGGAACATTTCCAATCACTCACTCTGCAGAAGCCAGCTGCCATGTCAGGAGGACATTCAAGCAGCCCTGTGATGGATCTGACAGCTCCTGGTAGCACCACCCTGGCTGCTGTGTAGTGAGCAGGCTTGGAAGCTGATCCTCACCCTTAGTCAAAATTTCTGGTGCACATCCCCGGCTAAAATCTCGACTGGACCTCATGAAAGACCCTGGGCCGGAGAACCACCCAGATCCCAAATTCCTGACCTACAGAAATTGTGGGAAATAATTTTAGACTACTAAGTGTGGGGGTAATTTATTATGCACCAATAGATACACCCACTTCACACCACCACCACCTTCATCTCTTCTACCATTTCCACCCTAACTGGCCTTCCGTGGAGTTGAACAGTTTGAAAAAGTTACTTGATCTCTTTTATCTTAGATTTCTCAAATAAGCATAATAAACTTATCTCTAGGATTGATGAAAGTATTGCATAAAAAAAATACAGGGAGAATCACAGTCCCTGAAACGTGGTAATGAAACACAGGACTAGCTGGATTTCCTAGGCTGACTAAGAATCCCTAAGCCTGCTGGGAAGGTGACTGTATCCACCTTTAAACACAGGGCTTGCAACTTAGCTCACACCCAACCAATCAGTTAGTAAAGAGAGCTCACTAAAATGCTAATTAGGCAAAAACAGGAGGTAAAGAAATAGCCAATCATCTATCGCCTAAGAGCACAGTGGGAGGGACAATGATGGAGATATAAACCCAGGCATTGGAGCCAGCAATGGCAACCCCTTTTGGGTCCCGTCTCATTTTATGGGAGTTCTGTTTTCACTCTATTAAATCTTGCAAATGCACACTCTTCTGGTCTGTGTTTGTTACGGCTCGAGCTGAGCTTTCGCTTGCCGTCCACCATTGCTGTTTGCCGCCGTCGCAGACCTGCTGCTGTCTTCTGTCCCTCCAGATCCAACAGGGTGTCCACTGTGCTGATCCAGTGAGGCAACCATTGCCACTCCTGATCGGGCTAAAGGCTTGCCATTGTTCCTACACAGCTAAGTGCCCAGGTTCGTCCTAATCGAGCTGAACACTAGTCACTGGGTTCCACAGTTCTCTTTTGTGACCTACGGCTTCTAAAAGAGCTATAACACTCACCTCATGGCCCAAGATTCCATTCCTTGGAATCTGTGAGGCCAAGAACCCCAGGTCAGAGAACACAAGCCTTGCCACCATCTTGGAAGCAGCCCACCACCATCTTGGAAGCGGCCCACCACCATCTTGGGAGCTCTGGGAGCAAGGACCCCCCAGTAACAGTAATGCTTATTAAGTGTGGCTATCTTGAGATTTTAGGACTGACATGTCATTACAGCTGTGAGTGCTTTCTCCTCTGGGAAGATGCTAGTGGCTTTCTTGTGGTCCTTCTCATTCCGTGACTTATGTTTTGCTGACTGCTCACCTGTTTCTCCCTCTTGCTGGACTATAAACTTCTATCAGATGGGGACACTGTCTTATGCATCTTTCATCCCCAATAGGTCTTACTTCAGATTGGCACACTCCACTAACACTTGAAGTAAGCAATATGAAATGTTTAAGTAATTTTGTATTGATGTGAAGATCTTTGAGGACAAAGGAGATGCCCTGAATGACAACACATCCATAGCCCACTCCCCGTGTCCTAGGCAAGCCCAGCTGTTAAGATCCCCTAAAAGTCTGCTCCAGTGATTGACGCTTAGTGTGGATTATGGACACTGTCTCCCACTTGCAGATAGGTATGATAAAATATAAATTTCAAAATTCTTTTATTTCTGCATGTTTCTTACTGTTTCTCAATTTCTGGACAAAAAAATCAGCATGTCTTCATCATTCCTCAGAACTGGTTGGGAGCTGATAGAGGATATTGCTTCTCCTTGGGAATGTGGGTCTGTGTGCTTAGCTGCCTTACATTTACATTCTCAAACACAGATTTTACAAGGTGCTAATCTTAGGCAGGCAGAATCAACATTCGAATGGTAGTTATTTAGCAAGAAAATGGATCCATTTGTCCTATACTCCATGAAGATGAGCCAAGGTCAATTCACTTTGCCTATTAAGATTTTGAAGATACCCGGTTGGATTACTTTTCACAGTAAAAGGTTATTTTCCACTGGGGTTTAGAAAAGATTTAAAAAATAAAAATAAAAACAAAAACCGTGAAGACTAATGTTAAGCCTTAGGGAAAACAAACTTTTAATGAAACTGCAATTTGCCAAGACTCAGCAAATTGCCTTTGTGAATAACTCACATACTATTAGCATTTAGAAAAGTGGTCCCATTGATGAAGGAAAATTACTGTTAGCTAAACCCATAGTGGGTGATTCCACATGGCATTCCAACCTTTCCAAACAAGTCACACCAGAGTTTTTGAGGGGACCTCTCAGAAGCTTTTGAACCAGAGCAACTCCATTTTGAATAGGAGCTGGGTAAAATGAGGCTGAAACCTGCTGGGCTGCATTCCCAGATGTTAAGGCATTCTAAGTCACAGGATGAAATAGGAAGTTGGCACAAGATACAGGTCTTAAAGACCTTGCTGATAAAGCAAGTTGAAGAAGCCGCCTAAAACCCACCCAAAACCAAGATGGCGATGAGAGTATCCTCTGGTTGTCCTCACTGCTACACTCATACCAGCGCCATGGCAGTTTACAAATGCCATGGCAATGTCAGAAAGTTGTCTAAAAAGGGGAGGCATGAATAGTCCACCCCTTGTTTAGCATATCATCAAGAACCATAAAAATGGGCAACCAGTAACCCTTGGGGTGCTCTGTCTGTGGTGTAGCCATTCTTTTATTCCTTTACTTTCTTAATAAATTTGCTTTCACTTTTCTCTTTGGACTTGCCCTGAATTCTTTTTTGCCCGAGATCCAAGGACCCTCTCTTGGGGTCTTGGTCTGGACCTCTTTCCAGTAACAGACCCACTTGACATTTTTTATGAGAATCAGTGTGGTCCACCATAGATTAATCACAATGCTTTCATGAACCTGTGCTGAGATTTTCTAATAGAGACCTTCAATCTGTGTATTCCTCTATAAGGAGTTTGTAAAGAGGCTTACTGATGGGTACAATCCAACAAGGCAGGGGAGATCATAACTTTTTTTCCATCAAATAATCCCTGGCCCAAGGCTAAGAATATGGGGACACTAGGAATATACTGCTCACGCTAAACTATGGTATTGAGAAAGCACATTGCCATCCAAGCACACGTAGCAGTTCGGCTTGTGCTGTGTGTAGCCCGGATGTTCATCTCATTCCAGAATTATGCAGGATATTTAGTGGCAGATTTCATCACGCTATGGTCCTTTCATCATATTTTCAAGGTGCATTTACTTGGGTAGCAATTATGGGATAGAAGCGAAGGAAAAATAGATAGTCATCAAGTTTTCAGATAGGTTGGTTTCAATCAATGCACTGAAGCTGAGGGTTATGAACTTAATCATGTATGGATAAATTGGGAGTCATTTTAAGTGCAATAGCAGAGTAGACATAAGGCTTTCATAGCTGACACCCAGAGCTGGCCTTGCTGCTCTAGTCTGAGTTGAGTGCTACCCTCTGTGTTCCATAAAAGTAAAGAATCTAAAAGGGAGAATGTTATAATACAGTGAGAAACTGTTTGAATATGAGAAGACATGATTCATTGAAGGTAAAATAACAGGATTTGGCAACATCCTGGAGAAAACAAAAACAATCATTGGGATATTTTTGGAAATTTAGTCACTCCAAACTATGTGGAAGATATTACATGAGAGAAATTAGTAAAAATAGCAACATGCTTAACAAGATTTGCTCCTTTGAAAGGTGGGCTGTCCTCACGTTGTTGGAAATGGACATGGAGGAAAGGTCCAGGGAGCGGGGTTTCATGTGGTTGCATGTTATGGAAATCCTGACCACAGTGACTCCTGGGTAACTATCTTCCATCTCACCTATCAGGAAGTCTGGGATAGACACGTCAGGGCTAGGGCAGCAGTGCCATCCTGGAGAAGGCGCTCCTGTGACTTCCCATTCAGGACCTGGTACAAGTTGGCATTTGTCATCCCTATCACTGTGACAAGGTCATACAGTGACTGCTTCCCCTCCTGATCTCACTTCTCCATTCGAGGGACAATAGAGAAAAAGGAGAAAGGCATCTTTATCAAGAAAGCCAAAGCCTTTCAGAAAACGGTGGGGTTTGGCTGATCTATCGCCTCTGGCTGGGCTGTGTCACATGGCAGTTGCTGTCTACAAAAGAGAAAAATCTGGAAAATGTGAATGCTTTTTGTACACACATTACCATTTAAAACGCACTTGCAGCTCTGGTAATCAGAAGAAGGTAGAATGTGTGTAAAGAAACTGCGGTATCTGCCACACTCATGTGTAGGAATTTCTCATCAGAAGCCCATAAGGTCTCAGTTTGGACCACAGAGAGGTGAACTGAAGACCTCTGCAGGCCTTCTGACCCTGAGCCCCTGTGGTTCCTCAAGTCCCTGCGCCAATATCACCATGGATTGGTACCACCTTTGGACTCGAGGTAAGCGGTGCACCCGACTTCTGTGTTCATACAACACAATATCACGAGTGGGCATTGTAAAGATTGTGTTACGTGCATCAACAACTAAATACACCCTAATTTTAACATTTTATTTTGCCTTTTATTTTGAAAAGTTATGTATTAAATATTATAAATAAAAATATCAATCTCTACTCCTCCCTCAGGAAGGTGGAGTATAACTTCCCACTGTTATGGGCCATACATAGTGAGTTCCTTCCAAAATACGGAAGGAAGTATGGAAAAGGGGAATTCTCCAGTACAGAAACCTGACAGGCACCATCTTAGTCGGGTGACAAGGACAATATCATCCGTGGTAAGTCATGTGGACCATAGGTACCCCTCCTGGGATGTGATAAAAATGGCACTTTATCTCTGTGGCCTTCTCAAAAATCCATCACCCTTGTCTGACCAAGAGAAAAAAATCATACAAACCAAAACTGAGGGACATTCTCTAAAATACCTGACTAATGCTCCTCAGATACGTCAAACTCATCCAAAACAATGGAAATTTGAGAGCTGTCATAGCCAGGAAGGGTCTAAGGAGACTTGGCAGTGACATGTAACGTGGTGTCCTGAATGGGATCCTGGACTAGAAAGCAGACATTAGGGGAACACTAAAGGCAACTGAACAAACTCCCGAGTTTGTGATAATGTGATAACGACAGGTCAGCATTGGCTCATGGACCGTGACAAATATCTGGTGCTAACATGAGATGTTACCAATGGAGGAGGCTGGGTTTGGTGCATATGGGAACTCTCTGTACTAGCTTCACTGTCTTACTGTAAATCTAAAACTGTTGTAAAATGAAAAGTTGATTTAAAAAAAATCAACCTTTGTGCACATCTCTACTGAAATACATGAATTCAACTTTTTCATTAAGCCTGAAGTTGGCTGAGGAAGGCCACTGCTTCCTATCCTAATACCTTCTCCGCTGGGCTAGAGGAGCCGGCCTCCTTGCAGAGACCTGGCTTTGTTCCAGTAGAGGCTGGCGTGTGGGCAAAGTGTCCAGAGCCTCTCCCCTCAATGGTTGGTCGCTGGGGAATATGTATGTGGATGCTGGTACTCTTCATTTCTGATTAAAACACACACACACACACACACACACACACACACTTGATGAAAAAGAAGATTAAAAGAAAAAACACCCCAGGGCACCCATAGTTATCTCAATTATTTATGGTATTTTGGAGTTCACCGAAGATCTAGCATTAACAAAAGCAGACTTATGGGTCTGTGTTTCATTTTCCTGGTGCTAATGGGGTAAGCACCACAAGCTACATAAGCATACGATATAAGGAAGTTTTTCTTTCAAATTGTAATCAATACCCATGTGGAAAACAACTGAGGTCCCAGGATTTATATCCAGTTACTTGTTTTTTTTTTTGTTTGTTTTGTTTGTTTGTTTTTAATTCAGTGCTTTCCTTTCTTTTATTCAAAAACTAAGATTACCTATGGGAAGGGCATGGCTGCAGCCTCCTGTAAATACCTGAGACCCTCTGTGGCCTTGAGCAAATCACTCAATCTCTCTGGGCCCTGGTTCTCAATCTGCATCCCCACCAGGAAAATTTACCATCCCCACCGCAGGTTTCTAAAAGCTGAAAATGTATGGACTGATAACTGTGAAATCAGAAGTCCTCTGAGATTGGTACAATGAGAAAATAACTTAGGTTTTACTATTATGAAGAGATTTCACAACACAATACATGCAAACTGAAGGTATAAATATCTGTGTACACATATACTCTTGCGTTTATGAGAGTTTATAAAACCAAAGAAGCATTCATTGATTTTTGTCTTATTGTAAAGTAAAAAGTAAGCAATAAAATGAGCCTTGTTCATAAAACACTAAAAATACTCCCCTTACCAGTAAAAACATACTTAACTAGTTACAGCCATTGCTATTTTGCTGGAAATTTGCATATCAACACAGTTCCTGAAGTTTGTCTATGATGATCATCACATTATATGGAGCTTTCTGTGGGAATATTCATTCTGATGGACACAATCTTGGTTTTCTGCTTTTACTTGGCTTCCTAGTGTTTTTTGACTGATGGCAGTGTGGCATATAGAAAAGAATAGGTAATGTGACGGCCAAAGTCACCTAACTTCTCTGAGCCTCAGTTTCCTTCTCTGTGAAATGTGCAACTGCTTGAATGTCTGAAATCGTGTCAGCAAAAAATCTCTTCCTATGACATTCCACAGGCCCTGAGAAATATCAGCTCTCTTCGCTCTTCAGTGGTGATTTTAAAATTTCAAAATTTATTGTCTGATGCATTTTACTTAATGCATGAGTGTATAAATTAAACTTTGTGTTAATACGTGTTGTACAAGAAAGACATTATAGGTGGCTTTAAGAGCAATTTCCTCACTCTCAGAAGAGTGAGTTGAAGATATAGACCCTAAATGTATTTATGTAATCTCCTCCCATGTACGCTTGTAGCCACACATTGTGTAACTCTCAGGATTCTTTCCGTTCTCGAATCCTACAGTAGGTCAGAAAACCAGCAGTATCAGTCACTATTCTAAGGTACAGCTAGGGTATGGCATGCACAGAGAAGAGAGAGCTCATATCTCCTAGCTCAGCACCACGACTCTATGCTTCTTTTTGTAAAATGGTCAAAGCTAAGTTATAATGATTCTCCAGAACTACAGACTATTTTCCTGTTGGAAAGACAGGATTGTGTGAAATTTCTTGTGGAAAGAATTCACTTACTTTCAAAAGATTTTCTTGATCTTTTATAATCATGTGTCATATTATAAAATAAAAGGATTTTTTTCACAAATACACATAATTTATATCTTTTTATTATGTTTGTATTTTATTTTATTTATGTATTTATTTATCTTGAGACAGGGTCTTGCTCTGTCCCCTAGACTGAGTGCAGTGATGCAGTCGTGGTTCACTGCAGCCTCCACCTCCCAGTCTCAAGAGATCCTCCCACTTCAGCCTCCCAAGTAACTGGGATTACAGCACATTCCACCACACCCAGCTAATTTTTGTGCTTTTTTTAGAGATGGGGTTTTTCCATGCTGCCCAGGCTGATCTCGAACTCCTGGGCTCAAGATGTCTTCCCATCTCAGCCTCCCAAAGTGTTAGGATTATAGTCATGAGCTACTGCACCCACTCGGACTTATGTGTGTATTTTAATGTTAATATAATTCAGAAAAATGAGAAAGGCCATTCTTTTTATAGCTTTTCCCAAATCAACATACATATGAAAATAAAAACTGGTCTGCTCAATGAACTTAGAGGTATTTTAAAAGCAAACGTACACTTGGGCTTGCTATGATCGTATCATTGTTAATTCCTGTTGATCCGATTTTATAGTGATTTATTTAGATTTTCTGCAAGAGACTCAAATATCAAATGTCCAGCAAATTGCACTTAGATGGAACTAGAAAATTCTAATGTATTTTAAACAGTTGTTAAATTACCTGCATTGGCTTATCTCATCTTTGAAATTTGCTGATCCTGCTTCTGAATACTGATCATGGTTCTAGCTTTTTATTTATACTGTTTAATCTTAGATCTGCACATTAATTATAGTTATGCAGAGCAACATAACTTCTTGTAAGCTTAATTGTGTTTTGAACCAATGGGAAAAGGTACTGACTTCCTACGTAGCTGATACACAGCCTATAGCCTCCAAGCACTGAGAAAATGTATTTGGCAGAACTGCAGATACAGCAGATACTTATCAAATTGTGTAAGAAGTGCTCTTTCTAAATGGAAGACAGCTGTATTCAAAATGCATAAATGTGAGTAAAAATGTACACTTGCTATCAACACACGTACTTATTGAGCAAGCAAGATAAAATACTACATATTAAGTGTGAAATCCCTACCTCACATCCTTCTAACTTGAACATACAGAATCTACAGGCATATTTATTACCTATTATAATAAAGAGCTTATTTAGATAGAGTTAAGAGAAGTAATGAATAAAAGTGAACATATTCTGCAGAATAAAATATCAACTTGATTGTCCAGAGTTTGTTAAGAGAAGACTTCCATAGCTTAATATAGTTGCTAGGGTATTTTGTCTTTTCTGAACAATCTTGTAGGTGTCTGAAAGAAGGTGCTTTTCCTTTCTATATTATAAAGATATGTTTACTGTAAACAGAAGTATAGAATTAACCTTGTGGAAATTATAACAGGTGGGGCAATAAGAATGTGTCAGCCTCCCAATACAACAGCAACTGCACAATGTAAGAGCCTTCTGCCTTCTAATGCATGTGAAAGGTCATAATGATAGAAGACGCTTATTCAGAAAACTTTAGGAACACTAGTTTAATAAATGCATAGCAATAGTTTTTATTTTCTCTTAAACCAAAAAAAATCATTTTTATTGGTCTAAGGACATACTAGTTTTCATCTAGATCTATATATTATTTATATTTGGATGGCATAACATTCAAGATGTGGTAAGTGAGCCTAACTTGAAGCTAACATTTGACACAAATGTTTTCTATTTTTCTTTGTGTCTGTGTGTGTGTGCACGTGTATGTATACATATAACATAAATTATTGTTTTCTCTATTTATCATCCTTCTCAACCACCCGAAATGAATATTTTAAAATATTTAAACTATAGTCATAACATCTCCCATCCACCCCACACGAATACCACCAACAAATTAATGAAGGAAGAAAGACAATCAGTGTGGATATTGAGCACTTCATTTAAAAAAGTTCCTGTTCCATTTGGATTCACTAAGGTCGTGACTGATTTAAAAAATACCTCACCATCTTTTATAATATAAATATAGAAATTTTAGCTGACAATTTTGTTCAGATAATTAGTTACAACCATAAAATAGTGATTCCTGGTAAAAGGAAAGAAAAAAGCCCTCATCATTACCTTAACCAAAATAAATAGTTTATGAATAGCTTCTATGAATCATTTTACTAAACTTCAGCATTTTAGGATCCTAAGAGCACTTGCTGTGGGTGATGGTTTTCATTTATATGGAAGTCAAATTTTCTTAATTTTACCTTAAAAAAAAAAAAAACTATGTTCAAATATCTAAGCAACCTGGGATACAAAACAATGATCAAAAATGACCTTTAGAGGTGGCTTCAAAGTTTAGAATTTTATAAATTTATTTATTTGAATGTTTAAGCTGTATTGTGATACATTCCAAGATAATTATTTTTACTGTATTCAAATGGCCATAGCTAAGTTTTTGAAGACATATAAAACCAAGGGATTTAATATCACTATTCATGATAAAGCCCAATAGGATAGAAATTATTTATTCTGAATACCACACAATTCTTGGTTTGCTGGGATTTTTAAATTTAAATTATTTTCCTTCTTCTAAAGGCATTGACCGTCAAATAGTCATTTGAACAGAGGATAATGAGGGTATTCTTTGCAAATCATAAATCAAATACTTCGCTAGTTGATTCTCATCACCACTGTGATAGCTTCGACATCAGTTTATTTGAAAGTATCTAACAGAGTAAATTATATAGTCGCTGTTCTATTTCTTCATTATTGCTTTCCTCTTGGCTACATCTAGTAATTTTTAATTCATATCACTAGAAACTAGGTGCATTCTACATTTTGAAAAATGCTGAAATGCATATATGGCTGCATCTATGCAACAGTCTCATTCTTAATGGTGCTCCAGTCTGGATAGAATGAATGTAAGGCAGTGTCAAAATGGTATTTGTTCCCATTTTGTTGCACACAGTAAAGTTTATTCATTTTATCTTTAATATCTAAGATATCCCTTCGTGTTTGTCACAAATGCACACATACATAACCATTCCCATCCATAAATGGGCTAAAGTCCATGATCAGGAAATTGCAAGATTTCTAAGTTAATTACATATAATGGTATATTTATTTAGTGTATTGCAGCTGTCCTCATTAGGAGCTATTGGTTCATGGTGCAATGTTTGTTGAACTTGGCCAAAATGAGAAATTGGGATTCTTTCTACTCTCATGTCTCCAAAGCTATTTGTTTTTCCTTTAAAAGCTCATTATAATGTTTCCTTAATGTGGATGGTAAAATAAATAAACCTTTAAGTTCAAATGTAAGTGTCAACGTGGAACCCAATAATTTGCTGATTGTTGATGAAAATTAAGCAGTCTATAAACTTTTGGCAAAATGAATGTATAAACTAGCTCTACTAGAATGCTGGGCATACTGTAGGAACTCCACACAAGTGCTCCGAATGGATAAATGCATACAATAAATTATCTTCAGTGGTGAGACTGATTTTTATAATGAAGATGCCACATCCGCAAATGACGCAGTGGACAGCCTTCCATTTAGGAGCATCAACTGGAGAAGCTATAGATGGACTCAGTTTTGGGAATTCCTTCAGCACCTTTATCATTTTCTTGACTCTTCTCAGTAATGGGACATCTTAGCCCTCTAAACATAGGTTTGAGTTTTTGTTTGACACCTGTGTTATCCGCTTATCAAAGCAACACAGCTCAAAAAGGACTTCATGGAAAGTACATGCTCAAGTGAGCTGTAGGCATCTCATAAAAGTGCTAGGTTGTATCAATCTTCAGGACTTTCCATTTATTGCCTGGTCTTGTGATGGAAAGTGATGACTCTTATAATGTCTTACTTTCTTTCATCATATTATAAACAGCTACAGGGAAGAAACCATGTCCTTTTCATGTTTATAATTCCCACAATGCTAAACATAATTCTGTACACCTAGTATGTGCTCAGTAAATGAGTACTGATTAAATAAAAATGCTTTAATAAAGGTGTGTGGAGGGGGTACTGAGAATACTGATGTTTCCATCCATCTCTTGAATTGAAGTTCTCTTGCTCCGCAGTTCATTCCTGGTTACTTGTTTCTTCACAAAGCACTGTTTTATCTGGCTTCCTCTGAAAGACCAGAACAAATGTCAAGACTTTTCTGTTTCTGTTCATCACTCAAAGCACTTGGCACGATCTTCACGGAAACTTCCCTCGTGCTCAAGTTTTCTTTCAGAATGTGAGCATCTGTCTCTTGGTCTACACTGAACTCTTCAGCCATCATTCTCACAGTTAATCATGTATTCGAGTCAGCCAAATCTCTGACCTTTTCAACATTTTCCTTGGTCCCTACATGATAGGCTGACTGTACCTCACCCAGGATAGCTTCTTACCTGCTCTGAAATCTCCCCGTAAGCCAAAACTTTCTGCTCTTGACATTGTGCCTCTTATCATGTCACCTCTCTCACTTGTGGGCCTCTTTACCTTCCTGAAAATTATGTTTTTTGTCTTAAATAATGAGAGGGATTAATACACTGACTTGAAACTCCATACACTGCTATTCTCCCCAGGCGCTAGCACAAAACTGACTTTCTATTAATTAGAGTACTGATGCTTCAAGTCAAAGTTTCCGTAACATACTCTAAAGCCACATCTTTACAAGCTAAACAGTGAAAGCCATTTCATTGTTGATAGTGTCATGTTGCAAATATACACAAATAAAAAGAAGTGTTCTCCTTGGATCTCTCAACAAGAAGAAATGGCCTTTCCTGATGGCCTCCTGATGAATGTTCTATTTTATGTTACCTTTGTTTTGAAACTGTAATGTTTTAGGTTTTCTCTCTCCAGAACGAGAACCCACAGTGTTTTCTGCATTTTAGTGGCACTTTAACATTTCAGGTTTATCTGACCAAAATAGGCTAAAAGTTCTATTTGATAAATCATTGGCCCCTAAACATCTCAAACGTTTTTCACCACTAGATAGTGAATCCTCTTCATTGGTTAGGTAAAATGATTACCGAAGTAAGTACTAGACTAGTAGGAAGTTGACATATTCACAGATTACAACTGGGGAGTGTAAAACACAGGATTTTAAAAAACCGTATCACTTTATGGATGGGTAACAATTGTGAAATGGTTTAAAAGGAAACGTCTTGTTTGGTAAGTTATATATTGTTCCGTGACTCACAGAATGACTAAGCTGCAGGAGTCTCTGTGGACAAACTAGTCCAATTCTCTCACTTTATGGGTGATGGGAACAGTCTTTGATTAAGTGATCTGCCCAAGGTATACGCCAGGTAGGACAGACACCGACTAAAGTGAAGATAGCATGGCACTTTGCACAAGTGTTTCCTAACCAAGTGATATTGGTCACTGAACTGCATCTTAATTGAGAGTGGCCTCTGCCTTTTAGGAATTTGCAACTTTATACATCAACATAATTATAATAAAAAACCCATACACATTCATTACTTACCTAATCCTTTTAAGTACGTGCTATATGCCATACTCGACAAGATATCTGGCATTTAAAGAAAAAGGTATGTCAATATTTTTCTTCAAGGAACTTGAAGTCCAGTTGGTGAGACCAGCATGTCGCAGGTAACCAGAAGCTATTTCAGCAAATGGCTGTAGAGTGGTAGGTGTGGGAGCTGCAGTAAGTAGCAGAGGTGTGCATTTTAGATCACCCACTCAGATGATGGTGGGAGATGCTCATTAAACCAGCTGACCCATGAAGACAGTGTGGATTAGTCAAGCAAAAGCACACAGGTACAAGCTGTCTGTGTGGGTGTTCTGTGTGTCTCTGTCAATTTGTGGGTAGACAAACTATAAGTGGGCGAGATCTAAAGGCAAGTAGCAGCCCTTTTTGAGGCTCTCCAAGTAGACGTATCCTTTTATTTGAGTATCAAGAATCAGACAAGGATTGAAACATGTCAGCCCCTTAGAACAAATACACCTTCTTGTGACCACAGGAAAGCACTTGTGTTTGATTCTGTGTTGCAGAGGTTAAAGGGTGAATAAAAACTAACAAAATAAAAGCTCAGAAGAGTAAGAAAGTGAATATCAATCTGATTATACAGATTAGGAAAAACCCAATGAGATAAATAACATTTGGGAGATAAGTGAGGACATTCCCAGTAGAAAAACAGAGTGAAGACAAAGACAGAGAGAGAGGCATAAAGTAAGATTGAGGAAGGAGGTCTTGCAGGATGGAGGCATAGAGTGCGGAGTGCAACCATTGTCCAGATTCACTACTCTAGTCCTCAGAGACATGAGGCTGAATAAAGAAGCAACAGCCATCGAAGCAGGAAGATAGTCATTAGTAAACTGACCACTTATAATTTAGTTGCCACTGTTTAAACTTAATGCTTTATTCATGTCCATTGAGTCAATAGTCAACTCACTCAGTGATTGATAGAGACTCAGACAATACAATATAAAGGAAATATGACTGAATTGTAAAGAGAAATTGCAAAAATTGTAAGATAGAGGTAACTTCCACAAATCCATAAAAGTGATATTGGAGAATGGCTTAAATCTTACTCAAAGACATTTACAAACAGGATCTCACAGCTAACAGTTAATTGTAAATTTAACCCCAGAGAAACTCCATAGCAGTGATGATATGATAGGCTCTTATAAAAATATACAAAATTCATATAAGTAATTAAGACAAATCTTTGGGAAAATTATAGAAGGCCTAACATATTTATTTGTAAATATGACCATTGTTTTGATAATACAGCAAAAGTAAACATGAAGAACAGGGATGCTATAGCAACCTATCATAAACATTGGTCTGAACATTTGTACCTTGAAAAAATCATTTTTAATAAAAATTTTTATCTTAAGATTTATTTTTTATTTTTTTAATTGACAAAAAATTTTATGTATTCATTATGTATGAAATGATGTTTTGAAGTATATACACATTGTGGAATAGTTAAATCTAGCTAATAAATGCGTTACCTCACATAGTTATTCGCTGTGCAGTGAGAACAGTTAACATCAACTCTTAGCATTTTCAAGAGCACAATGTTAAATAACATAAGCCAGGCACAGAAAGACAAACAGGAATTCTTTAAGTTTTAATTCTAACTGAATTTGTGTTACATAGAAGAAGAAAAACCCTTATTTTCACATTTTCTTTTATTTTCCAACTTCTAAGTACATCTCGTTTTCAAAAACTATTTCACATGAAATGTTCTTCTTTGTTTAAGAGGATTCAACTGAAGTGAATGATGGTACTAGTTATTCAGGCATCACATGCTTCTCCAGGCTATTTGGGAGAATTTTAATTTTATTTTAAAAATAAAAGTCATCGTCCCTGCTCTCATGGGAATGCCACACCAGGGGCTTAGACCAAAGTGTAACAAATAGCAAAGAAATAGAAAAATAATCACAAAGCGTGATAAAGGCAATAAAACGAAACAACAGCTTTCTATGAGCAAGAATGGGCGTTCAAGTGCTAGGAAGACAACCCCTCTCTTGGTTCAAGTTCATGGATGGCTACACATTTGCCACACATGAATGAAAGTCCAGATCCCACAGATCGTGCTAGAGGTCCTCCTAGCCCTGACCCCAGCCGGCTTTCAGTCAAATTTTCCTGTCCTCCCGTCTCAAAGGCCAAAGTTCATTCATAAAAGACCGTTGGTCAACGTCTCTGTGATTTTCCACTCTAATTGTTCCTCGTGCCATTGCTCACATTCATCATTTATTCATTTATTCCACAAAGATATCCAACAAATTATTATGAAATACATATGGAGTGACCACCTGTTACAGGCACCGAGTTAGGCACTAGGGATAGAATTAAGAAAATAAAAGTCATCATCCCTGCTCTCATGGGAATGCCATACCTGGGGCTGAGACCAAAGTTTAACAAACAGCAAAGAAAGAAAAATAATCACAAAACACAGCAAAGGCAATAAAAAGAAGCAACAGCTTTCTATGAGTGAGAATGAGAGTGTTACTGAGGGCTCTTCAGGTAAAGGGCTGGGAAACCTCTTCAGGTAAAGGGAACGTTTGGCCTGTCTAAGGCTCTGAAGGAAGTTCAGTGTAGGAATCACCCCCAGACCAAGGTGGGGAGAGAGGAGGGCTCGGCCTTGCCTGCCATCTCTGCCCTTTGAAATCTGACTTATCCTTTTCATCTAACTCAAGTACTCCTTTCTGGAATTACATCTTCTTTGTCTCTTGGATCCTATTGTACTTCCTTTTAAACCTTTAAATTCAAGTGATGACATGGATTTCCAAAGTGTGTTCTGGGAAACACTGCTTCCGTGGGGGTAGAGACATTGGTGCACTTCCTGAACGGCAAGCTCTCTGGGAAGAGAAATTGCTGTTTCCTGCATTAACACTAAGTTACAGAAGCCTCTTCCCCCCTCTGAAGTAGCTGCAGAAAATTATTCCCCAGCTCCAATTTCTAGGTCAGAATATACTAACTGTTCCGCCAAACCTGCTCCATCTCATACATTCCTTGTCTTGGTCAATAACTTCTACCCAATTCTCCAGCCAAGACATCTCAATATTCTCCTGGACTCCTTTCTTGTAACTAACAACATCACTTCCAGCTCCCTGTTCACCCCCAACCAACAAGAGGTTCTACCATTATTACCCTCCTTGACCTCTCTCATGTCCAACCCCTCTTGTGCCATTATCACTTTTCCTATGATGTATTGCAACAGGCTCCTATTAGCTTCTCTGCCTCTAGACTTCTCCCGCTGAAATCCGTTCTCTAAGCTTCCAAAGGAATGTGACAATGGTGCCAAGTTGGCCTAACACCACACTGCTGAGTCACCTGTCAAGACTGCCCGCCAGCTATAGCAGCAGCTATCAATGGGGAACATTCCCCCACCCCAGGGGACATTTGGCAATGGGGAGAGGTGTTGCTACTGGCATCTGGTGAGAAGATTCCAGGGACTCTGCCAAACGTCCTACAATGCACAGGACAGCCTCCCACAACAAAGAATGATCTGGCCCAAAGCATCTACAGTCCCTAGGTGGAGAATCCTTGGGCCACAGGGTAAAGTCCCAGCCCCTCTCCCAATGCATAAGACCCTCCATAACCCCACCCTCACCCCCCAGCAGGATTTCCACTCTCCCTTCCCCCTTCCCCCTTAGAATATCAGCCTTGGAGCTCATCCTCTGTGTGGCATCCTATCCTGTATTTCCTACCTGGTATTCCCATTCAGCCCCTCCCCACTGGGACAACACCTACTTAGCCTCCAAGATGAACTTACCTGTCATCTCATCCAGGAAGCCCACCTGCCACCCGGGCTCAGTGAGATGGCCCTTTCTGTGCATATCTGGTGAATGTACAGAGGTGTCTGCCTCACCACATCACCGATGTCTTCTTGCCTGTCTTTTCCGTGACTCCCTCAACTATACTGCCAATGTCTCATATCCAAAGGCCACATTTTGTAGTCATGTCTATGTCCCTGCTGTCTATAATAGTGTCTGCCACTGTGTTGGAATTAAAATGATACTATTAATCTGATTCAAACTGAGAGGTAGTTTGTAATTTTAGAGGAAATTCCCTCATACCCAGATGTGGTCAACAGAGAGGCTCCCATAGACGTTAATGCAGTGAGGCCTTGAGCTCTCTGAGCAGTGCCATATGCATAAGGCAAGGTCTATGAAGGGTCTTGGATAACTTGAAGGCTCTGGACACATGGACCTCTGGGCCTCAGTTTCCCCATCTGTAAAATGGGGGTGATGATAATAGTCCACACTTTCTATGGTTGTGATTTTTCACTAAGATGGTTGTGTAAATGCTAGCATATGAAAATGGATAAATGCTAGCTATGACCCTTTATTATTTTCAGCATCGCTGTTAAACAAAGAGTAACTGTGAATGAATGATTCAGGCATTACCAAACATAAATACAAATTTTACGCTTCCTTTTATTATTTTCCTGTGAGAAGGAAGTGATCCTTTTAAACACATAAATAATTTACATTGAGGGTTAGAGAAAGTGCCTGTGGCACATAATGAAAACCAAACCACCGTGAGCAGGTATGTTTGAAGTCCCCAGTGATGATCGCGTTCACGCTCCTAATAAGTGCCTACAGAGGATGGCAGCCCGGAGTGGAAGGAGCCGTTGAAGGCTGAGTTTTTGCCTTCCCAGGCTCTGTCAGAGCAGCACAGATTTCAGAGTCATTTCTTTTGGTGAGAAAAACAGTGTAGTAAGGAATGATTCCCGTAGGTGACTTTTGAATAATACAGACATCATTCTCCCATTCTCCATGCTAACACTTTGAAACTTTTAGCATTTTCCCAAAAATATCACTACCTTTTCCTCCTCTTAAAACAAAGATTAGGGAACCAATTTTAACCCTTTGCACGACTTTGGATCCTTGTGAGGGATGTTAACTCTTAGATCACATGTGCTTTACTCCTTCTGAGACCACTGAGGGATTCACGTTGTTTTCCCAGGTGGTTTTGGAATGCTGGTTGCTTCTTTTTACATTTTCTGCCTCGTCTTCTGTTTTCAGGCTCCCTTCTTGCTGATAGTTGCATGTTTGTTAATGAAAATGACTCCTCCTTCCTTTTAATGTGTTGTTTTTCAGATAATGGGGATGAGACAAAATTTGTTATAACTGTGCATAAAACAAAAGTAAATAAGCTCTACGTGACTGCCATTGGAGCTGATGAATGCAGTGCACGAAACTGATGTGGAGCTCTCAGGATATCTATATCAGTAGCTCAGATGAGTTTTGTTTATCTATTAATTCAACAAGTATCCAGTGTAGGCATCATATGCTGAATGTGTTAATTACCGAGTGAGACCGTATGCTAGTTGTGGCTTCTCCAGGAGCTCCCAGGACAAGAGACCACGTTTCTTGGACAGCTGATTCTGGATAGGAGACTCCTCAGGACACTGTGTGGGCTGCTCTAGAATGAATTCTGGAATTCTGGGTTATGTTAAAGTTTGCAATTGTTCCTGAATGCAGGAGAGAAGAGAAGGGTGATACCCTTCAAAGGACCTTAAAAAGATGGGAAGAGAATTTCATTTATGAGGAGAAAAGGAAAGCAGACAGACATGTACACAAGACACAAGTCCATGTGCTCCTTGAGGCTGTGAACATGGTGTTACAGAAGCAAAGAATATGCCCCGCTTTGGCTAGCACAGGAGACCTCTCCTGGATGAATTATTCATTAAACTCATGACAAAGGTATCAAGAACAATTTCTGGGAACACCTTTCTGCATATTTCCAGGACTCAGCATGGTATGCGATCCACTAGCAATCCCACTCTTACATACAAACACCTATAGGTAAGAAATGTAGATGAAGACTAGCACAGCAATGTTAAATTGGGTGGAAACAAATGGAATTCTCTGCACTTTCATAGTTAAGCCAGCCAGGTCTCCAAAGTCTGTCAGGGCAGGTATTGATGTAGTGGGATTGCCTAGTTTGCCTCCTTCATTGACAAGATGGGGTGGCATGGGGGGAAGAGGATGCACGGCCTTTAGAGTCAGACCAGCTTGGATTTGACTCAAGGTCCACTTTTTTTGTTTGTTTGTTTGAGACGGAGTCTCACTCTGTCGCCCAGGCTGGAGTGCAGTGGTGTGATCTTGGCTCACTGCAACCCCTGCCTCCCGGGTTCAAGCAATTCTCCTGCCTCAGCCCCCTAAGTAGCTGGGATTACAGGTGCGTGCCACCATGCCCAGTTAATTTTTGTATTTTTAGTAGAGACAGGGTTTCACCATGTTGGCCAGGCTGGTCTCGAACTCCTGACCTCATGATCTGCCCATCTCAGCCTCCCAAAGTCCTGGGATTACAGACGTGAGCCACCACATCCATCCAGGTCCACCATTTTTTAACTGAATAACTTAGAGCAAATTCTCGGCCTCTCTGAGTATAAATGCGCATAAAATGCAAATGCTCAAATCAATCTTGTAGTTTTATTGATAGATTAAGTACAGGGCAGAGGTAAAGTGCCTGACAAGAGTAGGTGTTCAATAAATATTAGTAATTGGTATTATAATATCCTCTCTGGTTTACTATAAAGAAAAACAAAATAGTCAGTAGAGATTTAATACCCATGAGAACAACGGAGAAGAGAGATGTGTAGTCTACTTAATGATGTACTATTTTAATTTCTATCTATCTTCCCAGGACAGCAATTGAAAGAAACATTTATAGGATGTGACATCTATATGTTTGCTCAGTTTGTGCAAAGTAATTAATGTTTTGATCAGGTTCAAAAAATCTTAATTAGGCCTGTGAGCTCTTAGGGAATATACACATTTTTTAACTGGTCTATTTGGAAGACTAAGGATCAGTTTTCTCTCTGCTGGGTTGCATCCTGTGTTACATACCCCCGGAGTATACTCTGATCCTCAATCCATGTCAGCCAGCCCAAGGTGTCTTGTCTTTGTTTCCCGGAGGAAGAACATGGGAGCACACTTGTGATTCAATGGTAGTGTTTTTTCCTCTTCTGTCTTCATACAAGGGGATTCCTCTGTATCTTAGCTTCATATATGTGGTGTTTCATGGCTGGGTTCTCTATTTTGTGCACACGAGTGTGGCTTAAAACAAAGCAAAATAAGCTTTTGAGTTAGAACTAGAAATTGTTTCTATGTGAGCACATACAGCTGTACAGATGAATTCACTGTTCTTCATTTCTCTTTTTTTGCATGTTTGCTTTGCAACTTGTCAAAGGCATTTGTTCCCAATGAGCCACTAATTTCTATACATGTAGGCCATGGAGTGTAGTGGATAGATCTGGTGTCTTTGACAAGTGACTTAACATCCCAGATATTCTGTTGTTTTATCAACACTATATAAATAATAACACTCGTCTACCCCATGGGATAGATGATAATGACTAGTATACTAAATAAATTGTATACTATATTAAAGAATTTTGCCAGTTGTAAACTCACTTCAATTTGGGGTGATCTGTTTGTATTTAATAAAGTCTACAGTAATGTCTCTTTAATAAACTCTATAGTAATACCTAGATTATTACCCCTTGGTTGATAGAAGTTGGCCTTCAAAACTTAGTGGAATATTAAAACTTGGGTTCTGCAAAGAGGAGAGCGATTTTAAAATTTGTGACTTGTCCATTTGCTTACTCTGAAATTAATGAAAGTGAGTAGCGGTTAGTTTACCTAAGTGCATGTTCGTTGACTTGAGTTCTTAGCATATGAAAAATATTATCAGCATAAAGAAAGCTGAGCTTCCTGATGTGAAGTGTAAGGCATATGAAAGTCAAATGCCACTCTATTTTACGAGAAGCCTGAATAGCCTATAAGACCATCTCAAAGACACTTATAAAGCAAACTCATGGAAGCCAACTAAGCCTGAGTAATTCAGTGTCCCTGGATAACAAGGGGTCTTGAATGACTTTCTAAATTCAATTGTGTCAGGTCATTTCAAATGGCCCCAAAGTAAGTCTCAGATAATGTGGTTGCTCTGGCTGTGCTAGCAGACATGCAACCTAGAAGCTTGTTATTCATACATGCCACAAATTCATGTTATTTTGTTTTACATTTTATCATATTATAATCCAAATCCTTAATATTATCTAGCATTTATAAGTAATGATTTTTGTCTCCAGATCTTTTTATAAATACTAACTGATTAATCCTCATTGCACCTCTGTGAAAGGGATGTGTAGGTGGTGTCAGAGTTATATTAGGTGCAGGCTAATTCTCATTATTTTGACTTTACTAAATCAGAGGGTTTGGCTCAGAAGGCACGTTCAAATTTCTTCCAACATCTTCAACGGCTACACAAAGAAAAGGTGTACAAATTCCACCTCGCTTCGTTAGTGTCCCAAAGTGTGTATTTCTTATCTTTCACTTCTTTTGCCACCTCTGACATGAATCCTAGAGTTCGCATTTTGAGCTGTATTCCAGGCAGGGGAGAGCCACTGCAGCAGAGGTGAGACCAGCCCAGCTGATGGCCTTCGCAGAATGGCGGTGGGGGCAGAGGACTCCACTCTCCCCACCAGACCCTGGCCAGGAGATTTTGTGGCACATGGGGATCTGGTCTCAGAGAGAGCCAAAGGCTTATGTCACTTGTACCTTGAGAGCCCCTGGTCCACAGGTTGCTCCGTGGGTAATGAGGTGAAAGCCCTGGGTAACCTGCCCAACACTATGAAGGTGTTTCCCACAGGAAACAGCCTCCAGCCAGAGAGCAGCTTCCAGAGCCACCTCTAATGATGAGCCCAAAGGCAGAAGGCTCTTCCTCCTGGGGAGATGGCGGGGACCCAGAGGCTGTTGTGGATAAGGAAGTCTCCCCGCTACGCAGTGAAAGGGGGAAGGTGGAGGAGGGAACAGAAATCTATGAGTATTTGAATTTCACCGATAGTGTCCATCCAATGTGCTCTAGAAACAATGCGCTATAGAAGCACGCCCTTTCGATTGAGACAGGCTGGGAAACTGGGGCATCGGAAAGAAAATGATGGCTCTTTGGCCAAGAGAAGAGTCCAGTGGTCTGTGCTTCTGTGTTTCTAGGCCATGCAGTTTTGTTTTGTGTTTTCGTTTTTTTAATAACACAAAACAAATTGGCAAAGCTTGAAAATAGTAAAATGGTCCCCAAACCTTCAAGTACTGGCTCCCTGTTTCCTTCAGCATTTACGTTAGGGGGAAACTGAGGCTGCCTGAGGGGAAAGTCCTGGAAGTATTGTGCAGGGCGGTAGGGGAGGGGGGGCGCGGAGAGAGAAAGAGAGAGAGTGAAAGAGAGAGACCGAGAGAGAAGAGAGGGGAGGGAGAGAGGAAAGAGAAAAGAGAAGAGAGAGAGAGAGAAGTGAGAGAGGAGAGACGGGAGGGAGGGAGAGAGAAGAGAGACAGAGGAGAGAGAGGGAGCCAGCTAGCAACAGAGAACACATCAGAGATTGAGAGGCAAAAAGGATGCAAGAGAAGCTGTGAACTGGGGAAGGTTTATCTAAGTTCATCTGAAGTTCATCTTCTTACCTCGACACTCCAGATTGCATGCTGCCTCACTGGGGAAAGGGCTTTCTGAGATTTTTATTTTTAAATTTGAGACGGGGGTTCTTATTATGTCATCCAGGCTGGTCTCCAACTCCTGGGCTCAAGGGATCCTCCCGCCTCGGCCTCCCAAAGTGCTGGGATTCCAGGCGGGAGCCACCGCGCCCGGCGATTTCTGGGATTTTATAATCCCCATTTCATGCAGACCTTTCGGAGTCAGCTTTATGATGGCTGTAGTCCTGGGATCTCAGGACCTACCCTTACACTAAACACCCTTTGAAAGAATGACTTCTTTGGTACTAGGCGTCAGGTTGGCTCTGGGAGCTGGGAGCTGGGCCATAGGGCAGGCCTGACTGGGTGCTCCCGCTGCGCCTGGGCCTCCGCGCAGGTGCAGGTGGGGCAGGTGGGGCATGAGGCAGGTGGGACGTCCCTGTCGTCCTGCCGGTGGGGCAGGTGGGGTCGGTGGGGCAGGTTGGATAGGTGGGGCAGGTGGGGTAGATGGGGCAGGTGGGACAGCTGAGGCAGGTGGGACCTCCTCGCCTTCGCGCAGGTGGGGGAGGCGCTCCCGCTGCAAGAGGTCGCCATCCCCTTCTGAGGCCTCGCGGTAGGGGGCTTCGGGACCCCGCGCTGCTCCGTAGAGCCCGGCATCCCCGCAGGCCGCGCCCACCGCGCGCCGGCCCTCTTGGCCCTCAGGCTCCTCCGGGACGCGGCCCCGCAGGTAACCAGGGAAACGCGTCGCCATGGTAACGTGCGCGCCACGTCGGGAGCCCCTCCCAACCCGCGGCCTCCTTTGCCGGAGCCCCTGGCAGTCCCGGTCGCCACTACCCGCGCCACCCTCGCGCCCCGCTCCTGCCGAAATGGAGTGGGACCCCGAACCCCAGCTCCGGGCGAGGGTTCGCAGTGACTTAGCCCCCCACGCCGCGCCGCGCTGCGGGCTCTGTGCGCCGCGGGCTCCCGGGCGGTGCTGCAGGCGCTGGACGCGGGCCCGGCGGGCGTGCCAGCCGCGCGGAGCCAAAACGGCCAGATTTGCAAAGGGACCGTCCCACCCTCCCGTCTGTCGGAATCTCTAATTTCCTACGTGCATGCATGGCACGGCTGGTGAGCTTCGAGTAATAGATATAGAATCTGAACGTTTCCAACCGCACATTTGGCAAAGCTTCGCGGCCTAACTGGCCTTTCCAGGCTCCTACGGACAGCCCTGGATCTCCTGGGGTCTCCAGGCCTCCCCTCCTGACGGCCGCGGGGGCCAGCGCTGCGCAGAGGAGCGGGCCTGGGCCGGGGTCCTCTGGGGGCTTGCTTCTGGAACTCGAATTCCTTAGGCATCAGCCGGGAGTTTGCAGGATAATTTAGTGCTTTCAATAACTGATATGGGAAATACAAAAGAAGAGTAAACTGATCTCTAATGCAGAGGAGTTTTCTAATTTTACGACAAAAAAACATGTGATGAATCTGAGAAAAAATATAAAAGAAAGTGTACATAACATGTTGATCTTTGTTTCAACTAGCTACAACAGAGGACCATGCATTTGTATCAACTAAATAAGAATTTTGAACTAAAATCTCAGATATTTTCCAACCCTGACATTATATTATAGGTATGGTTTCTGACATTCCACAAAGCACTTGGATTAACAGCATCAGCTGTCATAGATTAAAAAAAAAGGTTTTTTTTTTTCTTCTAGAAATGTTTGTCCTAGAAAAGTGATGGTTTTATCTACAGCAGTATCTGAGGGGTGCAGGTGAGTGAAGAGAAGAAAAAGTCAAGCCCTAAGGCCTTACCCATTCCAGAAGCAACTCTGCTCTGCTTCCAATTCTGAGGCCTTGGGTGGTTGTTGGCCTTCAGGTGGGCTTTACTGCTTTACTGCAGGATGATAGGGCCGGCCATGGAGCATGGGCAGTGATATCAGAAAATCCTGGATTTGAACCTTAGGTCTGCTGTGCACTGGGCAACTTCCATGGCTTCTCTGTTTCCCAATCTACCCTTTCATTCATTTATTTGTCCAGTGATTTATTAATCCTCTCCTGGGTGACAGGATACAGCAGTGAGCCAAACAGACAAAATAACTGGTCTCATGGAGCTTCTATTCTGCTATCAGGAGAAGAACCACAAACAATTAAACTCAAATATACAACATGTCTGGTGTAATTAACGCTATTAAGGAGAATAAAGGCCGGGTGCAGTGGCTTATGCCTGTGATACCAGCACTTTGGGAGGCCAAGGTGGGTTGATCACAAGGTCAGGAGTTTGAGACCAGTCTGGCCAACATGGTGAAAGCCCGACTCTACTAAAAATACAAAAATTAGCCTGGCGTGGTGGCATGCATCTGTAATCCCAGCTACTGAGGAGGCTGAGGCAGGAGAATTGCTTGAACCCGGGAGGCAGAGGTTGCAGTGAGCCAAGATCATGCCATTGCACTCCAGCCTGGGTGACAGAGCGAGATTCCATCTCAAAAAAAAAAAAAAAAGAATAAAAAAGTGTGAGAGAGGGTCGTAAGCAAGGGGGTGATATTTTATTTATCACAAAAGGCTTCTGTAGTAAGGTGACCTAAATAGAGTGAGACCCATCCATTTATCATCCCTATAAAATAAAGATCACTATCGTAACTTACAAGAGGAAGTGAGGAAGAGACACAAGTATAGTGACACCAAGGAAAGACAGTCATGTGACAACGGAGCTGGAGACTGGGGTTACGCATCTACAAACCAGGGAATGCGGTGGATTGCTGGACACCACAGAATGAGGAGAGAGGCACAGGACAGATACAGCCTCAGACCCACAGAAGAAAACAACCCTGCTGACTCGTTGAGCTCAGCTTTCCAGCCTCCAAGCAGTGAGAGAAGACACTTCTGTTGCTTGAGACACCCGGTTTGTGGTACTTTGTTATGACAGTCCTGGGAAACTAACAGTTCCTTATTTACAGATGAAGAAGCTATGGCTTGGACTTTGTGTAACTTATCCAAGTTTACAGGACTGATGCGGGATAAATAAGGACTAGAATTTCAAGCCATTCTGCCCTGGCACACACATGTCCTCTTCACCTGCTTGTAAGTTGAAAACTACCTAAACTACCATAAACAAAGCACAGATGCCAAAAAGTCTCATCCTATAATTTCCTTTTCATCTTTTCTTAAGCTGTCAGGACTGACGTATAAGTCAAGATTCTCAAGAGAAACAGAAACAATAGAACACGCCTGCATGCACGCACGGAGAGATTTATTAGAAGGAATTTTCTCATGCTATTATGGATACTAAGAAGTCACTGAGTCTGCCACTTACAAGCTGGAGACTTAGGAGAATGGATGGTGTAAGTTCCAGTCTGTGTGCAGGACAAGACCAATGTCCCAGCTTAAAATAGGCAAGCAAAGAGAGCAAATCCTCTCTTCCTCGGCCTTTCATTCTATTCGGGCCTCCATTGGTTTGAATGGTGCCCATGCACATCGGGGAGAGAAATCTGCTTTACTAAGTCAGCTGATTCATTAGTCGGCTAATCTCATCCAGATACACCTTCACAGACATACCCAGGATAATGTTTAACCAAATATTTGTGCACCCCATGGCCCAGTCAAGTTGACATATGAAAGTATCCATCACAGGTCCACCCCTTGTCAACTTGGCACTCATACACCTCTCTTTAAACCATACTTACTCTCCAAGTAAAGACAATAACAACAATATAATTCCACCTGACATGACACAATTATCCTGCATACAACCGAGATGCACTAACCATTCACCAGAAAGGATGTAAAGTCCTTGAGAGATGTCTACTCTTCTCCTTGATACCTCATAACTTATATACTGTGATGTAAAATTAGCAATACTCAAGTATTATGATACTAAGTCAATATATATTGTGTTACATGATAGAGGAATAAGAAAGGAAGGAAAACAAAGATATTTGCTTAACATATATTAACATATACATACACATACACACACATACATACACAGATATTTGTAACAAGGAATACTCATGACAACTGAATAATTGAAAATGATGATTTAATTTTAGGAAACCAACTGCACAAGTAGATCCAATGTTTTAATCTATGAAATTAAAGTAAGGATGAGGACACGTGCCTGCAAGGGGCAAAAGACATTACAGATATTGGTGCTTGGTTCTGTGGGAGGCTCCTTCAGTCCCTTCAGAATAGAAAGTGTCAAACACAGATGTTTAATGGCAATTGGAAAAATTACTAGATCAATTTAGAGGCTCAGAAAATAAAGAGTATCTGAGCCTTGGGGGTATCCTGTGGTTTGCTGGCAAATGGCACCACTAGTCAGATCACTGCAGACTCCGATGGATCATTGTGCTGATGCCCAGCACATTCCAGGGATGAAGTCTCTCACACCAAAGTGTGCAGGATGATTCTCAGTCTAAGTGTGAAATTGGCCTGAACTTTCTTGCTGAACCGTGCTGTATGTCAGGTTTCTTCAGAGAAACAGAACAACAGGATGTGTGTATACATATGTGTATACATATATATATATACACACACACAGAGAGAGAAAGGGAGTTGGCTTATGTGATTATGGAAGTGGGCAAGTCCAGGATCAGCAGGGTGAGGCAGTAGGCTGGAGACCCAGGACAGCCAATGGTTTTGTTCCAGACTTGAGACCCGGGAGAACGGATGGTTTAGTTCAAGTACAGAACCAGGAAAATACAAATGTCCTAGTTAGAAAACAGTCAGGCGGGATAAACTTCCTCTTACTTAAGGGGAGGCTGGCCTTTGTGTTCTATTTAGGCCTCCAACTGATTGGATCAGGCCCACCCACACTGGGGAGAGGGGTCTGCTATGTAGAGTCTACCTATTCAAATGCGGATTCTTCCTGTAACACTCAACAGAGTGGTACTTGACCAAATATCTGGACAGTGTGGGCCAGTCAAGTTGACATGAAAAATTCACCATCATATCTGTCTATTGGTAGATGAAGTCTTCATTCCTAAATATTCTACTTTCTCATTACTCTGTGGATTAGGACTCATATTTAGAAGAATTAACTTGCCTCCCTAAATTTTAAAGGAAGGTGTCCACTCTGTAACCAGCTGTGTTATTTCTAATGTTATAGTGTGCCCCTGAGAGTAGTAACTATTTCTTTTTCTTGGTATTTAAGTATGATGTTGGTCTGCTAGACCATTTGTCCCTAAGGCTTGTAGATCATTTGACTTGTTCAGATTTAAATTTTATTTAAATTTTGACTCAAGCCATTATTTCTCCACCAATGTAAGGGTTATAGTCTCTGCAGTTGACCTTAACACTGCAACCTGTGAACCAGTCTCCTTAGCGTGAAATTACATCATGGAGGGGAATCCCCTTTTGTCCATTATCCTGGGCGTTTCAGAGACAGGCCTCTTGAAGAGCCAGGATGCTATAGATCAGGAGGGGTTGGGAGGCTCAAGGGGGGAGAATAATAGTACGAAGGCCACCGTGGCAATTTCTTCTATTCTTAATGCCATAGAAAGAGCACTGTGAAGTATGGGCATGAGGTGTTTCTTCCTGGCACCTTGTCAAAGGAAAATTATTTTATGCAAATGGAAATATTCTGTTCCGAGAAATAATAGATCTATAGTGATTTCATTCTTGTGTTTAACTGGGACAAGGTTTACCTTTAAAAGATGGGTTGGCCCTTACCAGTACTACTTGTTGAATAAAGAAGGAATACCGAGAAGATATTAATTGTACGACATTAAGCTAATAGCCAGCAACCCACATCCCATCCTCAAGAGAGGTCATCAATAAAAATTTGTTAAGGAATAATTGAGTGGGCTGAATTACTTAAAAAGGTATTGAAAATGATAAAATAAAATCAGTGCGGAAGGATAAAAAAAAATGGCACTGATGAAAAAGTGAAATGGTGACCTCGGCCTACCCGTTTTGCTTTCTACTCAAACTGAAAGCTTTTCTACCCAGGAACTTTTTTGCTTTTAATCATAAATGGAAATGTTTTAATTGGCCTCTCTCACTTTGATTCTGAAAGAGTTACCAACAACCAAAGAATAGGAGAAATAAAATGCAAAGATAAATTTATTTTTTTGGCCTTCTTTGTCTTCAATTTCCCCTAATTCTGTTTCCATGTAAAATTATACAAAATATATGGCTTTCTGAAAAGATTTGCTACTGTCTCCTGGGGAGGGGGTTCCCAGCATCAGATTGTAAGGCAAATCCTGGGAGCTGCTGATGGAATGGTGACCCACTGGGCTGAGCCAAGTAGCAGTGTGTCACAACAGTCACTCAAAGTGCCCCCAGCCTTGCTTTTCAACACCCAACTGAAAAGACCTCAGGAATTTAGTATTATGTAACAAATGTTACTGAATGCTTTTTACCTGTGTGGCACTGTGATAAAGTCACAAAACCTAAGACACAATCTTTGCTTTTGCTGCAGCTTGAAGTTCAGCAGCAAAGATAGACAATAGATAACTGTATTATCATGTGGGGGAGGGCACACACAAGGTGCTCTGGAAGCACAGAAAAAGTGAAGCATTCTATTTAGATTCTGAAAGCTTTCCACAGAGAAAATCGTCCTGTCTGCATGCTTCTCTTCGTAACAGCTCAGTATTAATATTTATTCATTCTTGGATACCTTGAATTATGGCCATAGAAAGCAGCTGAAGTATCTTTTAGTCCAAATCCTCAGGAGACTTCTGGCTGAAGATGCTACACGGACTGCTGTAGACCACACAGCGAATTTCTAGATGAAATTCTACGCATGTACATTATGCTAGGCACCGCATACGCTTGAATCAGAATGCAGCAGGATTATTCTGAATTTTAAACAATTAAAACATTATCTTTTGAGGGGAATTTTTTTTCTTTTTCTTTTTTTTTGAGATAGAGTCTCACTCTGTCACCCAGGCTGGAGTGCAGTGGTGCGATCTCAACTCACTGCAACTTCTGCCTCCTGGGTTCAAGCGATTGTCCTGCCTCGGCCTCCTGAGTAGCCGGGATTAGAGGTGTGTGCCATCATACCTGGCTAATTTTTGTATTTTTAGTAGACACAGGGTTTCACCATGTTGGCCAGGCTGATCTCGAACTCCTGGCCTCAAGTGATCTGCCTGCCTTGGTGAGATTATAGGCATGAACCACTGCGCCCGGCCAAGGGAAAAAAATCTTTAATTAAACTAAGATATTACTTAAAAACCAACCAGAATTAATAAACCCATTCCAGATTATATTGTCTTTTTAAACTAGAATTAAAATCCATATCAAGGACATTGCCAAACTTTTAAAAAATAATATTTGTATTTCTGAATAAATAGATCTCAAAATGAAACAGAATACCTAAAATCTAATTGCCAATAATTACACACGATTCAGGGAATGATGGTAAGTTTTGAAGTAGATATTCTCAAATCAGTGTCTCAGAATGGTTAGTTATCAAATACCTGCTAACACTCCCTAAAAGTCCAGCAAATATGTTATTCTGAATGATTATGATGCTGGGAAAGATATTCTGTAGCTCTTATACCAAAAATGATTTTCTTTGCTGTCAATAATAGGCCTTAATCCAAAAAAAAACATAAATTTGCTTTTATTTTAGAAAAAGAAGATAAATTCAATAAAAAGAATCTGTTGTGGTAATAGAGCTTACTACATGCCAGTTCATCCTGTAAGTGGCTTACCCCTATCTATTCACTTAATTTTTACAACACCACGTTGACCTAGTACAATTATCCTCCTATTTTACAGGTGAAGAAACAGAGGCAGAAATGGGCAGATGACTTACTGAAGGCCACGCAGCTGTACACTTGTAGGAAAGATGGGATTTCAATTCAGGCAGTCCTTATTTTTTTTTTTTTTTTTTTTTTTTTTTTTTTTTTTTTGAGACGGAGTCTTGCTCTGTCGCCCAGGCTGGAGTGCAGTGGCGCGATCTCGGCTCACTGCAAGCTCCGCCTCCCGGGTTCACGCCATTCTCCTGCCTCAGCCTCCCGGGTAGCTGGGACTACAGGCGCCCGCTACCACGCCCGGCTAATTTTTTGTATTTTTAGTAGAGACGGGGTTTCACCGTGTTAGCCAGGATGGTCTCGATCTCCTGACCTCGTGATCCGCCCGCCTCGGCCTCCCAAAGTGCTGGGATTACAGGCGTGAGCCACCGCGCCCGGCCTAGGCAGTCCTTATTTTTAAACCTACCCTGCACTACCAGACATGGTAAACTAAGTTTTATTCCATATTTATGTTAACAAAAAGGGAAAGATATACTTATTATTTTATGACATGTCTTTTTCACTGTACAATATATAAGGCACATCTTTATTTCCTAACAATTATTATACTTGTATGTGTCATTTTAATGGTTGTGTCATATTCGAATTTTAATTGCTGTGCCACATTTTACTATATATATTTAACCCATCCTGGCTGTGGAAACTGACCATAAGCAATGTAGTGCTGTATTTCCTGGTACTCAAATCTTTATTCTTCATGACAATTCATGCCCTAGGATAATTTCCTGGAATGGAATTATTGGGTGAAGAGTAACCTGTCTTACATTTGAATACATGTGCCAAATTATGCTCCTTTGTAGGCCTTTGGTTGGCACTAGTGACCTTCTAATTGCTAAATTCATCAACTTCCTTTGAGGTTTCTTCCAACAAGCTTGGAAGTGTGGATAGGTAATCTTCCTCATCAGAAATGTTTCCTCCCGAACTGTCTGTAATCCTGCTTTCCGGGTCATCCTCAAACCTCGCTGCCTGCTCTTAATTGCAGATTGCACTGATAACTCCTATGGCTTAAATGGAGATATGCCTGATATCCTATTCTTGGCTTTCTTCCTCCACCCTCTGTGTGCTTTGCTAAGATGCGTTTACTTACTTTTACGTGTCCAACCACCACCATCACGTACAGGGTTCCCAGAGCGACCCCTAGACCTCATCAGATCTACATTTTCCTATTGCATATTAGGCTTCTGAAGCAGCCTTTTGATTTTCAAACATGTATCCTAAACCAATTCAATAGCTTCACTCCAAAACCTTCTTCTCTTTCAAAAAATACTTACGGAGCCTTGTCCTGTAATATACAGCCTTTGCGGTGAAGACACAACATTGGGGAAGATGGGACCATCACCGCCTCCTCCAGTTCATTCAGCCTTCCACATTTTGAATCGGCTTTCACTTACTTTGGACTTCACATTTGCCAACTTCCAATGATTCCATCTCCAAAATATCCTCTTAAACCATCTTCTCTATGTCCATTGCTGCTGCACTCATCACTCTTCACCTGAAATATTTCCAGAGACTCCTAACTGGTCCCCAGGTTTCCTTTCTCCCATTCACTACTCTTGATGTCCATGGCAAAGACAACCAGAATATTTCGTTTTCCCCCACATGCCATGCCCTATTCACTCTAGAAAGCCCAGGTCAGGAGCTGTTCTATCTCTAAGGCTGAGCTGTGCTCCTTCCCACAGGACTGCTGCGTTATTTCTCCCTTATTAATGAGGTTCAGTGCGTGGTGGTTCCTTTCATTAGAGGTCACATGCGTGACATTCAGGAGTGGGCTTCATTTTCCTCCTTTCATTAGACGTCACATTCGTGACATTCAGGAGTGTGCTTCATTTTCCTCCGTGTGGCTCCTGCAGCCTCTGACACTGTGCCTTACCCCTTGTGGTTGTTCAGTAGTCTTTTTGTTTCTTCTTATTTCAGGTAGCTTCAGGGGAGTTTTGGTTAAATAATTTTTTAACAGAGAGAGAGAGATTTATGTTTTGGTATGCATATAGTTAAGATGAGTAAAAGACTACATTCCTAATGTGTGACCATGTGATTTGAAGGTCAGGTAATGCCCTCTGGGTTTACAGGGTGCTGGCAAACCACCAGCCCTTCATAATTAAAAGCATTTTTGAACTTGATACCGTATCAAGATTTTTCCATTAAAAAAGTTTAAACCAGAATTGTATTATTAGGATGGTGCAGAAGTTATTGTGTTTTTTTCTGTTACTTTTAAGGGCAAAAACTTCAATTGCTTTTGCACCAAGCTAATAAAATCATAAGGAATGCATTTTTCCACCATAGAGTTACACCTTCAAGGGATTAAAAATTATAATTTGTCATTGACATTGCCTTACACAAGCCAAGCCTCAGCATTCATGAGCTGCATGGGCCACTGCGGGAGTCTTCCCTGGGTGTCTTCTATTTTCAGTTGCTATGATTCGACAAACTCTAAGCTTCCTTCACTGTAGCACCCCCGCCTTCCTCTTCCATCTGATGGAGTGAGAGAACCAGTGTGAGGATCCTATCCTTCTTCCTCCAGCTCAGCCTGTGCCCTTTGCGTCTTATCCTAACAGAACGATGGCAAGTGAATCCAGTAGTATTTGGTGGGTAAAGTTATCTTTGAGGAATCAGAATACCCACAGGGATTGGCCTGGCCTTTTTTGACCCTACGGCTTATAATAAAACTTCATCTCTTAAACACGCAAAGCTCTGCAACAAGAAATGGAAATGCTGTAAGAACACACATCAGAGGAAGTTTCATTCCCAGATTGTTGAAGGAGAGAGCATCTCTGGGCCCCAAAGAAAGATTCAGTAGGTCACTTACTTTGATCATCTTGAGGGCAAGAACATTGTCTTATACATAATGGGATTCCAGGGACCTTAGGATAGTATCTGGCACCTAATGAAATTCAGAGAGGCTTCCACAGGAACCTGCAGCTTGTATGCTGGTCTTCTAGGCTATGACCACACAGCCGATTCATCAGCAGCTCCTCATTTAGATAAAGACGTGGAGCAGCTGCTGCTGGGTTGACTCTAGAACAGTGGTTCTGCCACCTGAGCGAGCAGCAGACTCACGCAGAAAACTCATTAAATCTCAGAACATTGGGTCCCACCACCAGAGTTTCAGACTCAGCAGGTTTGAGGTGGGACCTGAGAATGTCCCTTCTAACAAGTCCCTGGCTATGCTGATGAAGCTTGTCGGGGACCACCCGATGAGAACTCGGATTAGTGCTTCTTGAGCTTTCCTGTGCATTTGGGTTGCCTGATGATCTGGTCGAGATGCAGATTCTGAGTCCCAAGGCCTGCAGTGGGGCCTGAGGCTCTGCATTTCCACCAAGCTCCCAGGTGCGCAATGCTGCTGGAGCTGGGCACAGACCATTGTTTGAGAACCAAGGCTCAAGAAGAGTGGCCAACTGAGTGGATGGTCAGAATCACTTGAGAAACGCTGATCAGCACTGAAGTGGGCAGCCCAGACAGGCTGAGCCAACTGCTGAAAGCTACCCCCACCCTGACTGCAGACCATGACCCCACTTTGTGTAGCGCCATCTTTTTTCATGGACAAATGATCTCCGTGGTGGTCACTGGATTCACCAGCGCCTTGCAGCTTCCCTGCAGGTGCCTCTTTCTCAGCCCTGCACTGCGCCTCTCTGGCAGGTGTGCAGTCTCCTGTCACCTGAGCTTCCTAGGGGTGCTCCCTGAGCAAGGTACCCACTCTACATCATCATTCAGTAGGCACAGCTAAGAAGTGGCCATCCAGAAGTAAGATTTCGAGTTATGTTTTCAAGAGCTTTCTGAAGGTAGCAACTGCAGAATTGGCTCGCCTCCTGATCAACTCACAGTTTAAAGACACCTGTATTGCTCGTGCTGATGCATGGCCACCTGTTGTCTTGCGAGCACTGGTTTCTTTGTTTCTGTCTTATTAGACGAGCCAGAGACTGGATGCTCATAAATGACCAAGAGGCTGACATGCATGCCATTGTGATCCAGCAGTTGCAGAAGGCCCAGTGCTGTCACATAGACAGGGAATCGTCCAGGTGGCACACTCTCAGAATCTCGTGGGGCCACAGGATATAAAGCTTCTGTGTTTCCAGAAAGAATAAACAAACAAACGTTGGAGTGGGGTTCACGCTGGCACATTTAGCCACCGGTACTGCAGACTTTTTACTGTAACTCTGCAGCCTCCATGCCTGTGTATCCTCAAGGTGCCTTCTCTCCTTCAAAAGCTGCATCAGGTGAGGTCTCTCATCCCGACCTTCAACACAGTGCCCCTTGTCACAGCTGAGAGCTCTGAGAAAGTTCCAGGGCTCTCCCTAGCTGGAAATTGGGTGAGCTTTGAGCCCAGAAAATGGTTTTGAAGTGTTCACCTCCTGCACAAAAGGAAGGTCATCGACTGAACTTTCGTGAGCCCCAGAGAAGATGCAGCCCCAGAGAAGATGCAGTGAGGTGCTCCAAGTTCAGAGGGGTCCCCAGCGTGGAATCTTGCTTCCGTCAACCAGGCCCTGCAGAGTCCCGCCCTCATCGGCAGAGTCCCGCCCTCATCCGCAGGGCCTCTTCCTGCAGTGAAAGGGGAGCACTGTGAAGGCGGGGTAAGGAGAATGCGCCGTGGCCCTGGTGCCGGGGACAAAGCCTGACTCATGCTCTGCCTGTTTCCTTCTCCTTTGCTTGCATCCTCAGTGATAAATTGGTGCATAACCAGGCTTGGCTTCTGCCTATGCATCCCTTGCACTGGACAAGTTGACACACTGATGTCTTATTGACGCATAGAACCGCGGAGTTTCAGAGGTGGGAAGGACCTCAAGTCATGAAGATTCTGAAGCCCACTCACCTTTGTTAAGCTAAGACAGAGGAGCGAAGTGGAATCACCATGGCGGCCACACTCCTGGCCACGCGCTGCCCGCACTCGGGCGAGTGCTGCTGCCACCACGCAGAAAACCCAGCCTCACCTGCGGCCCTGACGCCTGTGTTTTGTCCCTGACTCTGCCCTGACTCTGATCCTGCCTTCTGGGTCACTCAATGTGGATGCAGGGCAAAGTCTTCCAATGTGAACCCCATCCCTCTCCTCAGGTTGGATCTGCTTCTCCGCCTTTGACCTTCCCTGTGCTGAGGCCGGCTCCCCTTCCACCTGCCTCCTGTGGCCCCTGGGCTTCCTGCCCTGAACCTAGAGATGCCTGGCCTCTGCCATGTGCTGTGTCCTCTCACGGGTCAGTCTCCTGCCCCACTCCTGGCCTGTTCTGCTTCCTGCACCCACGACCCTGACTCTGGTACACTGCCACATGGGACCCTTTGTGAAATATTTGTAAATCTTATTTTGGCTTTCAACTTGGGCCATCAGGAACATCTCTTCCCCCCATGAAACTCCACTCGGGATAATAGGATGTCCTTTGTTGTTTCTTCTGCTGGGGCCATGTTAGCAGGAAAGGGTAGGAAGGGCCGGTGGCCAGATATGATTCCCAGAGATAACTGGAGAAGCAGGAAGCAGTCCCTGGGAGCAGATCTGGGTGCTCTGTGAGGACTCCTTCTGCTGGCTTGTTTTGTTCACTGTTTTCTATTTTTTCTCTTGTAGTGCTAAGTTATAGCATACAAGTAGATATTCAAGAATGCTTGATGGATTGCAAAATAAACTATCATAAGTGACAAAGCTGAAAGAATATCGTTTTCAGATACATAGCAGCTCAATTTATACATCAAAGCATGCTATTATGAAGTCAAACAATGGGGAAAAATGTATTTCAAATATGTTGGATCAATCAAATACGGTAGTATAAGACTCTCTACCTGTGAGGAGCTTAAAATATTGTTGAGGAGGTAAGACAGAGTTACAATTAGCAAATGAGATCATAACACATGGTATACGGGTCTATTACAGACTACTCTAACAAAGCCTCCAGAGCAGGGCACCCTTGCACCAGAAGCATGCAGGGGAGCGAGAGGCTTATGTGGGGGGCATCCTTGGGGGCCAGAGCTGTGCTGGGACCATTATCTCCTCTATTCCCTTCTGTCAGTCCTTGAGCAGGTTGTTGCTCCGGATCATGCAGCGGAAATGACAGAGCCAGACGTTTGGCCTCCACACTTACCACAACCCGAGAACCTAGCCTCGATGAGGAAAAGCCATCCGATGGTAATAAGTAAAAGACGGGTGCCCAGGTGTGGGATTCTCTCCAGCAAAGCACAGGTCATGACCGAGCGGCTCATACCATCAAGAACGTGCCACACAGAAGGTATTCCTTTTTATTTAATTCTGTACTTTTGAATAACTAATTCACTTTCTCTCTCTCAGAAGTGTTTAATTTATGTTAATTCCCAGTGTTGATTTTCTTCCCAAACCTCTCCCTGCTAAATCTTATCGTCTAGGCTTACTGCAACCAATTAAACACTCAGTTCTAAAGTAGGCTTTCACCTCTTTGGGTCAGCAGTGGCCTCCACTGGTTTCCATTGAATGGGTTGTTGGCCACGGGGTCCCACTCAATTGTGTGTGAAGTTGGCTTCTTATTGATTCATGTATTTCAACTTCTGGTTGTTGGTAATTCTTTGGTTTTATAGAACACACAGACAAAATTCCAAATGACCTATGCCAAGGGGTTTCTGCAAGGGGTGACTCTGATGTAGGATTTAGGACCTGCAGCCAGGAAGGTTCCTTTTCTGGGGTAGAGTAGGCTGGGTGGTAAGAGACAGGGCTTTCTCACTTGTTAGCATTATAGCTGCTGCAAGTGTACACACGCTGTCATGGAACATAAAAAGCCAAGGCCCCAGCCCTGAAGAGTTTACAACCTAAGTCAGACATAAAGGAAATGGCAGCAGGCCGTAAAAATCCCATTTGTGTAGATATGACTGGCACAGAGGCCTAGAGGCTGCATTGTCGAGGGAAAGTTTCAGGAGAGATTTACAGGCCAGGGGACTACATTTGGTGGGTAAGAAAGTGGGATGCTGCTCAGAGAGGTCTAGAGAGTAGCTGAGAAGGCGTAAGTCAGGGCAGGAATGAGCTCAGGCGATAGACCCAGAATTCAAAAGAAAGTGCTGGATGTGACTTGATGTGACAACCAAATAAATTATTCATCAGCACGTCCACTATAAGATGTTCGTCTTTCAAAATGGGATTTCCCCAAAATGACTTTGCCAAAATGCCTGACCATGGGGACTCCAGCCTGTTTGTCCTAGTTTCATTTGTCCTGCTAAAACATCATATGATGCTGGAAGAGAAATTAGCACTCTGACTTTGTTTCTTTCTTCCTTGTTACCGGGACCGCCAAAACTTGTATTGATGATCTAGCATCCAAAAAAATGAAACAAACACCCTTGGTCCCTCGAGGAGCTAACGGCTGAAGACTCCATGTCTATCGGAACAATCAACACATCCCTTGATTAATATTATAAAACATTCTTCACATGTGCATTGATGCAGTATTTATTTATGTATGTATTTATGTATTTATTTTGATACAGGGTCTCAATCTGTCACCCAGGCTGGAGTGTGGTGGCATGGACATGGCTCAGTGCAACCTCAACCTCCCAGGCTCAAGTGAACCTCCCACCTAAGCCTCTCAAGTAGCTGAGACTACAGGCACACGCCACCACACCCGGCTAATTAATTTTTTTTTTTTTTTTTTGTAGAGATGGGGTTTTGCCAGGTTGTCCTGGACTCAAGTGATCCTCCTGCCTTGGCCTCCCAAAGTGTGGGAATTACAGGTGTGGGCCATGTTGCCCAGTCCGGTCATTATTTTTGAGTCATTGGAGTTACTGGCCAAGAAGAATGTTGAGTGGTCTGTAATGAGGAAGTAAGACAGAGATGCAACATAAGGAAAATTCCATCTCTACACACGCCTCCCGTGCAAGGTGCTCAGGACAGGAAGAGTGTTGGACGTTTTGTGGGGTTGGCAGACTTCCTCTGAGAACACCCTACACCCAAGATGGAGAAAACAGCTCCCTGTGCTTGGAGAGCCTCTGAGGTTAATGCTGCTTCACTCACACCAGACCCCCTGGCCCCACCAATCAGGGGACTGTATTGAGCATTGACAATATCTATTACATTTTCTTCTTATAATGAAAGCAGCAGAAACCCACCTTAGAAGAGGTGAAAATTAAGGGGGAAAACCAACTAAATCCCAGCACTCAGGAATAAGGACCGTTAACATTTAAGTGCATCACGCTTCTATGCAAGCTTCTGTATTTTTTTTGAGCTAATATACTATCAGCGTTGAAATTCCTTTCACCATCTGGTTTTTAATGACTGCACTGTGTCCTTTTGATTTATTAAAAGAAAGAAAAATCAATATACATGCAGTTTGTAATTACCAAAAAAAAAGCAAACCTCTCCCGTGGTCTTCAGATACCTTCGACTCCCTTCGACTCCCTCCGTGTTCATGAAGGGCAGTTTTCTTCAGGTGTCTGGAGCGCCCTGGCCGGGAAGTCTCAGCACCTTCCTCTGCTGGAGGCTGACCCTGTATCCCTCAGCATCTGTGCCTTCCAGGCTGGCTGCTGTGGGGACTCACAGGTCCCTATGAGCAAGGCCAGCCCCACCTTTGTATCCTGGGCTGAATGACAAGATGGGAAGGCTGTGGGATGGAAATTCTATGTGGGCCAGTGGAAGACACGCCTTTGCCCTTCCCTTCCTTCTCTGCTTCTTCCTCTCCCCTCCAAGCTTGGGACCACCCTCTCTTGACAAGTCTAGGGCTAAATTGAGAAGTGAGGCCTGAGGGCAGTGGGGGCTGCAGAAACCCTGACCTTGTGGTCTAAGAGTGGAGAGAAGGCAGGTTTCTTCCAGGACTGCAGGTTAGCAGCATGGTAGGAGGCCTGGACAGGCACTTTTGAAAAATCTTTCCATATGAAAAAAATTCTTGAAATGTCTCCACTTTTTCTTAAGAGTTTATTACTGCCTGTCCCGTTTTGGGGTGATACGTTTTCACTTCTATTGAATTCTGTGGCTATGGATTTTTTTTTTTTTCTGAGTTAAAAGAATGTCTTTGTTTCCGTTCTCTACAATTTTGCCCTGTCTTTGGATATCTTTAGTCTTGGCTGAGCTTCATGTTTGGTGAAATCTTTATAGACACCTCAGGGCTCCATTTTCTTCAAAATTTCAATATTTGGAGAACACATGACTCCGTATTTACACCTAATGCTGGAGTTAAGTTTGCTTTCCTGTCTGTACAAGAATGGGCTAAACAATCAACATCCCATTGTCTCACATCTCAGAGATTTTATTCCAATTAAATGCATCTTAGCCATACCTTCAACTTGTTGAAATTTATTTCTCTGAAATGTATTTTCCTTTTCTTTACTAATGTCTTTCAAATTGTGAATTTAATTTTCTCTTGATAACCTCTAACATGATTTGCATACTGGCAACTAGTTCTTCTTTGAAAAACAAATAGACAAAGGATCAAATCCAAAGAGTTCTCTGTCTTTTCTCATAAGAAACTGTTCACCAAACTACTTCAAGAAACTGTTTGACAATCTGTGGTTCCCCATTTGGTGTTTCATTTCTGTTAGTTGACCTTATTTTTACCAACAATCTTTTTCTATAAAGGGCAAGGTAGTAAACATTTCAGTCTTTCTGGGTTGTATGATTTCTGTCACAACGATTCACTTCTGCCACCTTAATATGAAGTAGCCATAAATAGTATGTAAAGGAATGAGGGTATCTGTGTTCCAATAAAACTTTATTTATAAAACCAGGCAGTAGGCCAGATTTGGCCCATATGCCTAGCATGCTGACCCATCTTCAAACCAATAGATGTTCATATGAATAACCAGAGGAAGTATTTTACTTTATTCTGGTCTTATTGAGGTGTACACAGTCCTAAAACATTAGAAACAACCAAACTCCATCATTGTAGAAGTGCTTTACCTGAGCATGAATTACCCATGCCGGCATGGGTTGTAAGTGATGCAGCTGGACTCCAGCCTGCGTCTCATCTCAAGCAACTTAGTGAACTCAGTCTGCTATGTGTCTCTATTTGTAATAATTTTAGGAGTAGCTAAGAATCATCAACTTATTATAGATTCTATTATAACGCCTACTTTTTCTCTTATCTTTTCCAGTTTTTTCTGGTCCAGTAGCTTCTTTCCATTTTTCAGGTGTTGAAGGAAGTGATACTTTGCTTTGCTTTATAATGTTAATTGTAATTATTTAATAATAACAATATTTACTAGGTTTGCTTTGAGCTCTCATTTTGTTTCAGGCATTAACCTGTAAAACTTGGCTCTAATTCTTATAATGATTCTACAAAGTAGGCAAAATTAGTTTTTTGTTTTTTTGTTTTTTTCCCCAAATAGGAACACTGACATTCAGAGAACTTAGTTTCTATCTTGAAATCACACAGCTTTGTACATGGCAACTTCCACACATGCTTTTTTCCATGCCCATTGTTTTAAAATTCTTGAAGGAATAGGCTACTTTTTCAGTCCTATCAGTCATATCGCCATCTCTCACTTTTCAGATCAAGTTAGAGCAGTGATCCTGAGTTAAGCTCCTCAGTTCCTATTCCTTATTTTTCAGGTCTATAAAACCAAGCCACGGAATACAGCCCATCTACAAATACTGAAGTGATGCTGTTGCTGTGGATATTTATGGAAAATAGATATTAGATGATAAAAGGACACCTAAGCAGCTGCTGAGTGGCGAGCCCAATAGAACAGCTGCAAACAGGGTGGAGTGAAAGAATCCCTCCCGGGACTGTTGAAGAACAGCTTCCCATGGAAAGCAGCATGATTGGGCACTGCTGGGACCAGCCAGGCACAGAGCAATCAGAACTGGGTGGTTCTTTCAGTGTAGAAGAAGCCAGCAGACATGAATCTAAGAGATAGAAATGTCAAAAGTTACAAGCAGTACAAATAGTGGCTGTAGTTGTCGACCAAGGAAAAGTCTTGACTTGTGTTAATGTGGAAAGAATTCGGAGCACCAAATATGCAGACATGGATTAAACCAAGCTAAGCTAACACAGAACAGTAGCAGCCACAGAAAAACACCTTCAGGTGCATCCTTATTGATCAGGAAGGACTATGGTATTAACACTCTGGAATTACTGAGTGGCATTAGACTTCCTTGTTCCCCAAAGATTTACCTTTTAGCTGAGGAGGCAGGGCATATATCCAAGCTCCTTAGAATTCTATAGCTGTATTTCCAGAAAGATGGCTCTCCTCTTATGCCTTTGACTATGTGTCTGTTTCTAATCTCAATAAAGGGTTTTCTTTCTTTCTTGTTTTTTTTAATTTCATTTTATTTATTTACTTATTTATTTTGAGATGGAGTTTTGCTCTTGCTGCCCAGGCTGGAGTGTAATGGTGCAATCTTTGCTCACTGCAACCTCCGCCTCCCAGGTTCAAGCAATTCTCCTGCCTCAGCCTCCCTAATAGCTGGGATTACAGACACCCGCCATGATGCCCAGCTAATTTTTGCATTTTTAGTAGAGACAGGGTTTCACCATGTTGGTGAGGCTGGTCTCGAACTCCTGACCTCAGGTGATCCACCTGCCTTGGGCTTACCAAAGTGCTGGGATTACGGGCGTGAGCCACTGCACCCGGCTTTTTTTTTTTTTTTTTTTTTTTGCTAGAATTGAAGTTTGGTAATTTCTCTGGATGTTGGATTTCTTTGTCAGTTGGACGCTTTTACTCCATGCCAGACGAAGAGGGTCCTTGACTTTATCCAGTCTGTCTTTGAAGAGCATTTCTTACCATCACAGCAGGTAAGAAAACTGTGAGTGAAGGAGAGTTGGAACTGTGAATTTTGTCAATGCTGAGTCACTCTATTTGCATCATAGAACACAGTGGGTGGCTAATAATTGCAATGTGAAAGAAGAAAACCTAACATATTAGACAGGCAGTGTGCATACCTGACCCAAAGCTCCCACGACGGCCTCATTTGGGGGAGGCATTGATGTGGCGCCTCGGCCCAGCTGGTTTTCACTGGCGTTAGTTTGAGCCTCTCAGGAAAGACTTTCAACCACTCAAATCAGTTATCGCTTCAGTCCATGTGCTGTTAAAATCCCTCTCATGTTGGCAAAAAAATCTCTGCTCAAGTAAACTGTTACATCACTAATTGCTAAATATGACATTATCAGATTGTTTTGACTTCCTGGGGGTAAGGGTAAAGGAAAAAAGTTAATTATAATTACTTTTGTCTCTAACTAATGGAAAGCAGTGTTAACATCTGTGCGCTGCCTGCTAGAAGGTTGGCAGTAATCCCCCCGTATTAACCAGAGTAGAATAGAATGACCCGATGTGTGGATGGCATTGCTGTACCTGAATTTTCCCAGCAGCTAACAAAATAGGTCTCTTTCACTAAAGACTAATTTTCACATTAAAAAAAAAACTTTATTATGGGCCTAGTGCAGTTAAATTGCCTGACACAGTAGGGAATCTATACTTAGGCTGGTAATATTAAGCACTGAGAAAATGCCTCAGGTGATGATCAAGCTGAGTGGTAATTCAGACCCCGGATAATTCTCTTCCAGGAAAATTCCACCAGGTGGCACAAAACGTCTCAGAGTGCCACTGAGCATGCTCTCTCTCTGGACCACAGGGAAGTGGGAAAAAGATACAGAACTGCCAAGGTGATCTCATCATAGGTCTCCACGGTGCTTTCCAAATGCACGTGTCCCTCCTCACCTTCAAGTGCTTCTTAAAAACAAAACGTAACTATGTGACAGTGTAAGCTTTCTCTATACATATAGTGAACTTTATCCTTTGAATAATGGAAAGGACTAGTTGGAAAAGGTAAATAAAGCGGTGTGGGAAGAGGGGAAAGAAGAGGAAGGGAGACTTACAGGTGCCAATTCACCAAACTTAAAGGCAGGTTTATTAACCCGGCGGCGGCCAGTTCTCGTGCCGTGGCCTGAGGCTTTAGAAATCTTAATACAAAATGTTTCTGTGAGTTTAAACGCAGGATTATTCACACAAGTTGTAAATGTTCTCACATGTTGAGAAGTAGTAGTGATTATAAAGATTTGTAAATTTTAACTGAAGCCAAAATGGCCGATAATCAAAAACTAGGGTAAGATTTTATTTATAGTGGAATGAAATAAATTGAGATGGTTTTATTTGCTCTTTATTCTGCTACCACCTCTTAAAATCTAGCCTAATGTTTGCCCAGCATTGGGAGTAAATATGTAGTAGAATGGGGTGTCAATTACATAATTGGATATACATTGCTATAACATGCAATCCCATGAGATTCCTAGCCTGGAGGGCCATGGAAGAGTGGTTTGGCTCTAGAACTACGGAGATGGGCCTCGGAGTGACCTATGGGACTTTTTCAGTTTGCTCCTGCCAGTCCCCAACCTCAGAAGCACTGACTGGATATGTCTATGGAAGGACCAAGCTTATGTATCTTGAAAAACTTCCCAGATGATTTTCATGTGTCTTCTAATTAAGAGACTTAGACTGCAGTGTTTAGTTTCCTTTTATGATAAACAAGGGTGGGTGCCCAAGAGCTCCATTCTAATAGGCTCTTACCAAGAGCCAGAGAAAATTAATAACCGCGCGTTGGTCTTGGAAGTAACCCAGTGAGTGTCTCTTTCTGTACAACTCTTTGCTCCTGCTCTGAAGAAGGAAGACAGCAGAATCATAGGAAGTTCCAGGTATCCTTCAGTGTCACCTGTCTCTAAACATAATGAGGGAATAAGATACGTGTGTACATGTAAATCTAACATAAAAATTGCTCCTAAACTGGACCTTGAAAATGTGAATTTGAATATTTTGGGTAACAAGGAAACGAGAGCACAGATGCAGGTACATAAAATTAAATTATGCTGAGAATCAATACTTTGTTCATTTTAACTGAAATGTGGGTGATATGAAGGGAAGTTAAAATGAATCAGGTCTTAAATTTTAGACTAAGATTTTTGAATTGTATTGGGTGTGAAGCCAACAATGTTTCCAATAAAAAATATAACATAATTAGTTGTATGTGTTAGAAGTTTAGCTATGGCAGCTGTCTATAAAATGATTTTGAATGAGAAGAGCCTGAGTTAAAACTTACCTTTTATTGAGTCCTTTCTGGTGCTAGGCTTAGCAATAGGTACCAATTTATGTTCAGTATTTTACTTAAAACGTATAATAACCTTGTAAAGTAGGTATTATCCTTCCTATTTTTAACCACAAAATTGAGGCTTAGAGAGTTTCTCTATCCTAATTTGCAATTTAATGGGGGTGGAACAGGGATTAGAAGCCAGTTCTTTCTGACTTCAAGATCCGTAAGCATGATGATTATATTGCGTCATCTTGAAATGCATGTAAGGAGACAGTACAAAGGCGATGAACTGTAATAGAAAATAATTTCATGAGAAAACATGATTCCTAGGAAAGTTTAACAGACATATTTTCTGTATGAATTAAGTGACAGAAATTATATTGGGAGCAAAAATCAAAGAGTTCTTTTTTGAGATGGAGTCTCACTCTGTTGCCCAGTCTGGGGTACAGTGGCGTGATATCAGCTCACTGCAGCTTCCACCTGCTGGGTTCATGCGATTCTTGTGCCTCAGTCTCCCAAGTAGCTGGACTATAGGCACATATCGCCACACAAGGCTAATTTTTGTATTTTAATAGAGACAGGGTTTCACCATGTTGGCCAGGCTTGTCTTGAACTCCTGACCTCAAGTGATCTGCCTGCCTCGGCCTCCCAAAGTGCTGGGATTACAGGTGTGAGCCATCACACCCAGGCAAAAATCAAAGAAATTTTTAAAAATCCAGACTTACATAGGACCAACATTACAAGTAATTTGTCTAGCGCATCTCCTGGCATTGGGTAAAAGCTGTTATACAAACACACTCAAGGACCTTCCATGTTCTTATGCTTCTGTTTGGTCTGGTATTTTGGCTCCTGTTTTTCTTGAACTCCTGAGCTACAAAAGTTACGTTTGGAGAAAGTCTCACTATAATCACCTCTCAATTAAATAATATCATTTAATGTAAGCTCTAATAATACTTGACAAAGGTACTAAAGAAGAAAAGCTATTACATTTACATTTACCTAATACCTCATTTTGAAATTAATGGATATTCAAGTCATTAATTAGGGAGACACTGCGTTGTTACAGAGAGAGATTCTGACCTCTGGTAGAGCACACTGGCCTTGGTTTCCTCATCTGTAGGAAGGGGCTGATCATATTTATTTCATTGGGTTTTTCATAGGGATAAATGAGAAAATATACAGTGGAGATGTGCCTGGCATTTGTCAGTATTTGGTCAGGTGTTAGTTTCCTTCTACCTTTACATTTTCTTGTATTGAACACGCATCTCACTCTTCTCTCCATATGTTCTTTCAGCGTCTAGAGGTAGGAGTATGGCAGATGTGTGGCATTTTTGTCTTGTTACCTTCATGATTGGTTCATCAATTCATTCGTTCAGTGACGTATACTGGCTAGCTCCTTCATGCAAGGCACTGGGGCTCAGAGATGAAAGGCAGGTCCAGAGGCAGAGCTGGGCACGTGCGTTCTGTGTCATGTTAAGAGAGCGGTGAGCCATGGCGAGTGCTGGAGGATGACCTGGCACCATGCACAGGCTCCTGGAAGACACTGTATGAAAGGGGATGTCTGATTTGGGTTTCAAAGAATGTATACGACTTCTTCACAAGAGAAGAAAGAGGCCAAAAATGATATTCCAAATAAAGAAACTTTAATTCTTGAACAAGAACACACATCTTTGCATGAGAAGGGGAACTCTCTGATACACGTTTTGATGCTGACATCCCGTGACTCCTCTTTTTCTTGAGTTCCTTCTCAGACTAGCATTGCGCCAACTAAGAAACTCTTGCCATTTAATTAAAGCTCCAGAAACTAACTTCAGTTTACCAGTCTGGCCAACTGCTGTAGATAGCAGCACTTTCTACTCTGCTTTTTTTAAGCAGAGTAATAAAACACTTTTAGATAGCCAAGGAAACTTCTCTACTTGAACTTTGCTGTTTTTCTTTCGATTTTTCCACCACTGCTCCTGACCCCCACCCAACTCCAACTCAGCATGGAACCTGTTGCAAGATGACCCAAATACCAGAATGGTAATTGAGGTTATATGACCAGTTTCAGTTTTACCATTGCTTTATTTTCTTTCACTTGATTATGTCATGTTGAACGCGTTACTGGAAAACCCTTAACTGAAAGCAGGAACAAGAGTTCTCGTGCTCTCACCTCTGAATGATGGAGTGATGAATTGTTTTAAACGCTAAGAGGAGTGTGATGATTTATGCTAATCTCATACCATTGTTACTGACCACTTCAGTTAAGTGAAATAGCTATTGGATACTTGATGGAGATAAGAGTGAGAGTTGTATAGAAAGTCTAGAGTCAATGCCCTTTTTCTTTGCTTTTCAGATATCATTAGATTATTTTATAGTTCTTTTATGTGTTACAGATAGTCTGTTTCTTTATTTCAATGTTTGGGTAAGTATTTTTGCACTTTAGAATCTACACATAAATTCCAGGGCGTTTCCTTGGGTGTCTTGTAAAATTGCTGTCACCATGTTTCTGATACTACTGAGATAGTATTCAATGTTACCTTCAGGAGCAGTGCTGTACAACGTGCCCTATTTTTATTCACTACTAGGTAGTGAGCTTTTCTAGAGTAGAGTTTGTGTCTTAATCATTCTCACAAGCTCCAAAACCGTTCCGTGCACATGGCATACATTTACAAAATTCTCAAGGTTCTAAAAATGGAATTCTCTAAAAGTGTGTAGCCTTTATGACTAGGAAAATGCTGCTGCCTCTATTGCCAATTCGGCTCTAGCAAGAAAGAGTTGGGCAGGCTTCTGTCAGTATTTGTATAGGGTTGGTCTATACAGTCAAAGCTGAGCAGATGATTGTATAAATTATCTGGGGAGTTTGGATCCAGCTAAAGAACATTCAAGCAAACAGAAGGTCCATGTAACTGGTACAGTTGGATTCTTAGTTCTTCTAGATTAGAAACATGATGTTTTCTTTCCCCAGTGTGCACAAGGACACACGCACATAGACTCACATAGTTAGAAAGTGGACAATGAATCCACCTTCTCTTCCTGGTATCTATTGTCTCCATGATCCTCATTCCCAGGATGATTCCTTCAATATAGTTTTTAAAGGGTTCTAAATCTTGTTAAAAGTACAACATGCAGGTCTAAAAGAATATATAATACAGCACCTATCAGCTCATGTATGGTGATAATTTTAAGACTGTCTGGCAGGAAACAGAACATCCAAGGTTGTCCTATTTCCAAAGGATAAGGAGTTACAGCCCTGGTGTGGGTCTTCAGGCCTGGAAAGTCTGTCAATATATTTAGAACTCTTCAAATGGTTAATTAGGAAGATAATTTCATCTGGAGAGAGAACATGAATGAATTGACATCTTTGAAAAACCAGCCAAGACATGGATATATTCATTACTGATTCCTCTCTACTGACATGGTTTATTCCATTTTTAAGTATAAATAGTAATAAAATGCATACTGTGTGGGCTGGATATTTGGGATTCCTTTTCTCTGTCCAATGCCTGAATCCTATTTCATAAGTTGTGATGTTGTACAAAGACAATCTCCTCTTTAGAAGCAGAAAATTATAGACAGTGACTTTCCCAGCCTCCCCTGTCCCTGAGGCTCCAATGTGTAACCTACTCACTGCCAATCAAACTCTCTGATGCCAGACATTGACTCAAGAACTAGAGATCCTAGACAAAGGGCACCAGGAGAGGGGGTGCAAGGTCGCGCCACCTGCGCAAAGACCAGTCCAGGCTCATGACTGTGGCTTGCTGGTGCAGTACTGCCAACTGGGGCAATGGAGACGATTAATTAATACAGCAGGCAGCTTATCTGGGGAAGTGTTTCTTAAAACTTAGCCTTGAGCCTCCTTCTCTAGTCTCCCCAATGTTTCCCTGCATCTCCTAATTTCCTTTCAATGAATTTCCTTCTGTTTATGTTAATCTTTTGCTTGCCACTAAGAATCCTAGCTCATCTTCTGTGCCTAGACACTGGAAGAAACCCAGACATTTGGAAAACCCCTCTTGGCCCTTTTGGACTTGACACTCTGGTCATGAAGATAAGACAAGTTCACTGTTAGTGTGATGGTGAATCTGATTATTCCACCAGTAAAACTTATCCGTGCCTGGAGAGAAAACTGCTTGCAGTGGGTCCTCAATGAGGTAGGAAATTCTCCAATTCATCCTTTTAGGTTTGCAAGTTTGGCTCATTACCCAGAAAAAAGACACCTTGCATAAGCTGCACCTTGCAAGAGAGAATGGCCAAGAAGAAAGGTAGAAGGAAATCTCACCTTTTGTCTGAATATATTTGCAGAAGAATGAAATCTGCAGCTGAGTTAGCGTGAAGAGCTTGCCTCCACGTGGGCCTGCGTGGAGTTTATACAGATGGCGCTCCCAGTAGGATTGCACATCCCAGGGAACTTGTGAACCATATGGAGGAGAAAGTTCTCAGTTGAGAGTTCCGCTCCATTATTTCCCACTGGAAGTAGTGCATTGTGATCAAGCTTGAATTATCAGATGCAAGGCAATGGGTATCACAATGTCATATTTGCTAGAGTTTGGAAGCACTTATTCTTAGCTTAATGACCATAAAGAACACTTGGTTGTTGCATATTCTGAGTTGTGTCACCAGGCACTTCCAAAGGCTCGGGCGCGCAATTGTACAGAGAGCCCTGCTCACAGCAGCACTCTGGAAATAAGGTTGCCTTGTAGTCTCATATGTGTCTGGGCTTCTGAATGCTGTTTCCTCCTGAACCTGGCTTTGTGATGGAACATTAAACTTCAGGGATGGGGGTGCTCAGTGTCCTTGTCTTGCCGGCACTGGCAGGCACATGCCACCCTGTGTGACCTCCACTGGCATCTACGTGAGGCCCTCTGCATGCCTTTGGGTGACTTTATAAACCAATAACAGACAGGACCAAAGACAGAAAATGGGGTGCAGGGAAAGACAGTGAGGGCAGCAATGCCACTGTTGCATACATTGGGGCACCTGGCATCTATATCACCACCCACAAGATACAGGCTCAGGACCCATCTCCATGGAGAGCAGCAGCCTCCAAATTCCCCCCAAATATCCTGTGTGTGTCTTAGAAAGGTGGACCACTGGCCGGTCATGGTGGCTCACACCTGTAATCCCTGCACTTTGAGAGGCCAATCACTAGGTCAGGAGTTCGAGACCAGCCTGACCAACATGGTGAAATCCAGTCCCTACTAAAAATACAAAAATTAGCTGGGCGTGGTGGCACGTGCCCCTAATCCCAGCTACTCGGGAGGCTCAGGCAGGAGAATCACTTGAACCTGGGAAGTGGAGGTTGCAGTGAGCTGAGATTGCACCACTGTACTCCAGTCTGGGCGACAGAGTGAGACTCCATCTCAAAAACAACAGCAACAGAAACAATAACAAAAGAAAGGTGGACTGCTAGGGTCTGAGAGGGTGGCTTCTCCTGGTGATGTGTTTGGTTTGTGTCGACCCTTGAGCTGAGAGTTCAGAGCTGAGAAGGACAGGATGCTCTGCAGCACAGCGCACCACACCAGCTGGCCTGGGCTGAGCAACCAACAAAAGCTGACAAATTCACCTGCCATGTGGATGAGTGACTTCCAAAGCCTTTCATGCCAAGGAGGGGAGGCTCTGCCAGCAGAGCACCTGGGGCTGATTCCTCTCCCCTGAGTGCCCATCCTGGAGGAGGTAACACGGGTCTGCAAAGGTTGAGAGAAAGGGCACAGGCTGACCATGCTCCTGCCTCTTCTGGGACGGACATGTGGCTTCCTCTCCTAGCTGGACCCGCTGGTTCTGAGAGTCTGCCCTCTCTAGGGTGCATCTCACTGTGGTTGAAAAGCTCAAGAACTGGTAAGAAACAGAACTGATTGAGGGCAAGGCCAGTCTGCCAAAGAAGGAGAGAGGGTCAGGCCTTCCCTGAAGAGAGCATGCGTGATTTCTGATGTCTGGGTAACAAATAGGTTAGCAGATTGCTAATACAAACAGGAAAATTAAAGGGTATTTGGGTTTGAGAGAAAAACATAACAGAAATGACCGAGGTGCAACCTCTTTACACTTTAGGAAGCCTTGTGAAATGAAACAAACCCTGCTGGCTCAGGAAGTCAGCTGAGTGTGGAAGGCTTGCCAATTGTTCAGTTTGTATACATGGTGAGCCATTCTCTGTGCTCCTTTACTTTTTTTTTTTTTTTTTTTTTTGAGACAGAGTCTCACCCTGTCACCCAGGCTGGAGTGCAGTGACACAATCTCAGCTCACTGCAACCTCCGCCTCCCGGGTTCAAGCAATTCTTGTGCATTGGCCTTTGGAGTAGCTGGGATTACAGGCGCGTGCCACCGCATCCAGCTAACTTTTTTGTATTTTTTGGTAGAGATGGAGTTTCACTATGCTGGCCAGGCTGGTCTCGAACTTCTGACCTCAAGTGACTCGCCTGCCTTGGCCTCCCACAATGCTAGGATTACAGGCCTGAGCCATGGTGCCCGACCTCTTTTACTTTTTAATAAAGCCTTTGTGGAGGGCCCAGCCTGTCTCATCTGCACGGAGGCAAACAACGGTTTTCAGCCCTTGGCTTCTGAATGCTAGGGCAGAATATTCCAGAACGCATCTGAGGCCAGCACAGCGCTCGCAGCAAGAAGAAGGATGAAGATGAAAGGCAGAAGGTAGGATCAAGAGGGCTTCTTTCCACTTGGGGTTAGGGTCTTACTCTAACCAGAAAAGCAAATATTTCTTTCCACAGCATTTGACATTTGGAATTCCTTGAAGGTTGACAGCAGCAGATGCCTTGGCTCTTAGCTAGATTCCCCCACAAAACCACACAAAACCAGATTATAGAACTAGAAAAGAGAAGTATGTGTATAAGGGATAAAAATATTTTAAACACTTTGTGAAGGTATTAGACAAAATAAGCAATATTAGTAGGATGTCTTCATGCAGATTGAACCCAATCCAGATATGAGACTTTAGATATCGCTTGCAAACACCGTTGCTGAGTCTAGACCAGACATAGATGACATATTCTTACTCAGTTATAAAGAAATTACCCCCACAGCTTTAGGCCGAAGTATAGGATATTTGAGACTCTGAAATGATCACCCTGTAAATGATCATAATGCGGGTAATTAAAAACAGATTATTGGATTAAGATTTGAATGACTTTCGAATACCTTTCTTTTTCTTGGCATATGTAGTTTTTTTTCTTCACCTTATTTTTCCCTTCTCTGAGTGATCATAATTGAATGCATGTCGCGACTACAAATTTAATTTTGCTGTCAGAGATAGTATTTTAATCTCAGATGTTTATTAGAAAATTTCTCTGCACTAACTATGAATTTATCTAAGAAGAGGGACTTGAATCAAATAAATGGACTTGGAACAAAATTAAGATTATGTCTTCATGTGGCATGGAGCCTGCTCTATGGGCTACTACAATGAGCTTTGTTTGCCACAAATGTTGTATTTTTATATGTAGGCATTTAATAATAATTAAGGTAAACACACATGTACTAATGCTCATATTAGCTGCTCTCCAGAAGGAGAGATGGTCTGACATCCAGTAGGTTAGAGATGTATGTAACTGGGACAAAGGAAATAGGGGCTGAGTCATTTCTCAATGAATTTGATTAATGTAAATAATTTACCTGGATGCTTCCACTCCTACACCCTACTTATTCCTTAAAATATAGGACGTGTTTTCCTTAAATAGATTTTCCTCCAAGCTCTCTAATTCACAGGAGACTACACAGAGCAGGAAGCCAGTGGAAGGCAGAGAGGAGCTGAGCCTAGGGGAGGAGACCCAATCCAAATCCATCACTTGCTCCTGCATGAGCTCGGATGTGCTCCATTTCTCTGGGCTTCAGTTTCCTCATTCTAAAATATTCAGAGATTGGACCAAGCCCATTTTACAATTTTTCTGATCTAATTTTCCATGCATTGTTTCCATTCATTGTTTCTATGAAGAGGAATTTCCTAACAGAAAGAATGTTTATCCATTCCTCTTGAAGGGAAGGTGATATATCTTTAGTCCACATTGGCTGGAAAGTAATCTGCATCATTTCTCAAAAAGTTAAACATGTCTTTGCCACATGATCCAGCAATCCCTTCCTTGGCATTTACCCAAGAGACATGAAAATGCATGTTCTCACAAAACATACAGCTGCTGTATTCATAATTTCACCAAGCAAGAAACCACCCAAATGCCTTTCAGCTGGTGCATGGACAAACAAACTGTGGTATAACCATACGAAGGAATAGCACTCAGCTATGAAAAGGAAGACATCACAGCACATGCAGCATGGATGGATCTCTAGTGAATCACGGGCTAAGTGAAAAAAGCCAGTTTCAAAAGCCTGTGTGCTGGAGGATTCTATTTATACAACATTCTGGAAAATGCAAAGCAATGGGGACAGAAAACAGATCCCTGGCTGTTGGGGCTGGGAGCAGGAGGAGCTATGACTCCCCAGGTGAGGGTACAGAAATGTTCTAGAATGTCCTGATTGTGCTAGCGGATATAGGTCTATGCATTTGTTAACACTTATACATTAATACACTAAAAAAGTGAATTTTACTCTGCAAATTATGCTTCTGTTTTTGTTTTGTTTTGTTTTGAAAAAAGAGCAGCATCAATCTAGGATCTATTACTGAACTATCCTTTTCCTTAGAAAACTCAAACCGCCAAATTTTAAAATATTGTTTTAAAACTAACACAGATGTACAAGCAGCTGGGTTTTTTTTCTATTTTCTTCTCATGGTGGTGCACAGGTTGCAAACGGAAGTCCAAGTTTCTAGGCAATGGATTAAAGTGTTTTGGAATAATATTGGCCTGACCCAGTGCAAATGTTGTCCACAAATGCATCCCTGCCTTTGAGGATCCTGAATGTTTCTTTCTGCTCCCAGGAAGCAGTTCTCATTTGCACTGACTTCCAGCAACTTCCTCCAGGCGAGCGCCTGGAGGCAGTCACCTGAAGTCATGTGCCTGCAGGCACAGGTATGGTTCAGGGCAGCTCTCTCCTGAGTTCTTTTGTGCTTCAAGACCTAAGGACCGACAGCATCTGACTTTTAATGCACTTGGCTTTTAAGCCAGACATTGTGCAGCTGGAGGGCTTCTGGTGTTTTAAACCCAGGGATAGTAGGTACTTGTGGTAAAATAATATTTTACACAAATGAGGAATTCCCATTGGATGTTCCGAATTCTAGCCCATGCCGTGAGCACTGTTGAAAACAGTGGCAAATTCCTATTCTTCTACAAGGTAGGTCTCAGAGTAGCGTTTATCCAGTTATTAGACCATGGTGTGGCAATACCTGAAACTCGGTCAAGTTGATAAAATATATTTTACAGCTGGTAACTTCATGCTATGAGCAAGGTCCTTATATGTTATCAAATGCACATAATAGCTACATACGTGCATATGTAATATTCATTAGAGAGATTTAGAAGTCATCCAGAGACTATGAGTGTGCTGCACTGTGCTTTCTAGTAGTAGAGATAACTTTGTACCTATTGTCTTGTCTCCTATGTAAGTACATACAATCACGCATGGCTTAGCAACAGCAATATGTTCTGAGAAATGTATTGTCAGATGATTCTGTTGTTGTGTAAGCATCCTAGAGTGCATTTATATAGGCCTAGATGATATAGCCTACTATATACCCAGGCTATATAGCGTAGCCTATTTCTCCTAGGCTACAAACCTGTATAGCATGTTACTCTACTGAATACTGTGAGGAACTGTAACACGATGGTAGGTATTTGTGTATCTAAATATATCTAAACAGAATAGGTAGAATAAAAATATGGTATACAAGATAAAAAAAAATAGTGGCCCTGTATAGAATACTTACCGTGAATGGAGCTTGCAGGAGTAGCAGCTCTCTGGGTGAGTCAGTGAGTGAGTGGTGAGTGAATGTGAAGGCCTAGGACATTATTCTACACTACTGTAAACTTTATAAACACTGGACGCTTAGGCTATACTAATATACACAAACATTTTCTTCAATGATACATTAATATTAGCTTGCTGTAACATTTTTATTTTATAGCCTTTTTTTTTTTAACTTTTTGAGTCTTTTATAATAATACTTAAAACACAAAATCCACATTAGCCTAGGCCAGCACAGGATCAGGATGATCAATATCGCTGCCTTCCACTTCCATATCTTGTCCCACAGGAAGGTCTTCAGGGCCAATAACATGCCTGGAGCTTTTGTGTCCTGTGATAACAGTGCCTTCTTCTAGAAAACCTCCTGAAAGACTTCCTGAAATTGTTTTAAGTCAGCTTAAAAAAAAAAGTAGAAGGGGTACACCCCAAAATAAAGATTAAAAATATATTATGGTAAACACATAAACCAATAACAAAGTAGTTTATGATTGTTGTCAAGTACAGGCATACCTCATTTTATTGTGCTTCATGGATATTGGGTTTTTTACAAATTGAAGGTTTGTGTCAACCCTGCGTGGAGCAAGTCTGTTGGTTTCATTTTTTCAACAGCACATGCTTACTTCATACCTCTGTGCCATATTTGGTAATTCTCAAAATATTTCAGAAATTTCCATCATTATTATATCTGTTGTGGATACCTGTGATCAGTGATCTTTGATGTCACTATTACAATTGTCTTGAAGTACCACGAACCGGGCCCGTAGAAGACGGTAAACTTAATGGATAATTGTTGTGTGTGTGTTCTCACTGCTCCACCTGCTGGCCCACCCTCTCCTTGGACCTCCCTATTCCCCAAGATGCAACAAGATTGAATTTAGGCCAATTAATGCCTCTATAATGACCTCCAAGGGTTCAAATAAGAGGAAGTGTTGCACAACTCTCACTTTAAAATAAAAGCTGGGAATGATGAAGCTTGGTGAAGAAAGCATGTGGAAAGCTGAGAGAGGCTGAAACCCGGGCCTCGGGTGCATACAAATAAAAAGTTCTTGTAATGCCAGCTACTCGGGAGGCTGAGGAAGGAGAATTGCTTGAATCTGGGAGGCGGCAGTTGCAGTGGGCAGAGATCATGCCTCTGCACTCCAGCCTGGGCGACAGAGCAAGACTCTCTCTGAAAAAAAGAAAAAAGTTCTTGAAGGAAAGTAAAAGTGCTACTCCAGTGAACACATGAATGCTAAGAAAGCAAAACAGCCTTATTACAGATATGGAGGAAGTTTGAGTGATCTGGATAGAAGATCAAACCAGTCACAACATTCCCTTAAGCCAAAGCCTAATCCAGAGCAAAGCCCTAACTCTCTTCGATTCTGTGAAGCCTGAGAGAGGTGAGGACGCTGCAGAAGAAACTTTGGAAACCAGCAGAGGTTGGTTCATGAGGTCGATGGAGAAAAGCCACCTCCATAACATAAAAATGCAAGATGAAGCAGCAAGTGCTGATGGAGAAGCTGCAGCAAGTTCTCCAGAAGATCTCACTAAGAACATTGACAAAGGTCATTCCACTAAACAATAGCTTTTTCAGTGTAGACAAAACAGCTTTGTATTGAAAGAAGATGCCATGTAGGACTTTCATAGCCAGAGAGGAGAAGTCAGTGTCGGCTTCAAAGCTTCAAAGGATAGGATGACTCTTTTATTAGGAGATAATGCAGCTGGTGACCTTAAGTTGAAGCCAATGGTCATTTATCATTTTGAAAATCCTAGAACCCTTCAGAATGATGCTAAATCTATCCTTCCTGTGCTCTAGAAATGGGTTTACATAGCCTGGATGACAGCACTTCTGTTTACACTAGAGTTTAGTTTATACTGTACAGTATAGTGAATATTTTAAGCCCATTGTTGAGATTTACTGCTCATTGACAATGCACCTGGTCATCCAAGAGCTCTGATGGAGATGTACAAGATGAATGTTGTTTTCATGCCTGCTAGCACAACATTCAGTCTTCAGCCCATAGATTAAGAAGTAATTTTGGCTTTTAGGTCTTACTATTTAAGAAAGGCACTTTGTAAGGCTATAGCTGCCACAGAGAGTGATTCCTCTGTTGGATCTGGGCAAAGTAAATGGAAAACCTTCTGAAAAGGATTCACCATCCTAGACATCATTAGGAACATTCATGATTTGTAGGAGGAAGTTAAAATATCAACATTAACAGGAGTTTTGAAGAGTTTGATTCCACCTCTCATGGATGACTTTGAGACATTCAAGACTTCAGCGGAGGAAGTCACTGCAGATGTGGTGGAGAACAAGAATTAGAAGTGGAGCCCGAAGATGTGGCTGAATTTCTGCAATCTCTTGATAAAACCTGAATGGATGAGGAGTTGCTTCTTATAGATGAGCAAGGAAAGTGGTTTCTTGAGATGGAATCTACTCCTTATGAGAATGCTGTGAGCATTTTTGAAATGACAATGAAGGGTTTATGATAGGACATAAACTTAGATGACAAAGTCGCTGCAGGGTTTGAGAGGATTGACTCCAATTTTGAAAGAAGTTCTACTGTGGGTAAAATGCTATCAAACAACATTGCGTGCCACAGAGAAGTCTTTCGTGAAAGGAAGAGTCGATTGATGTGGCAAACTTAACTGTTGTCTTATTTAAGACATTGCCACAGCCACCCTGACCTTCAACAACCACTATCCTGATCAGTCAGCAGCCATCAATATTGAGGTAAGACCCTTTACCAGCAAAAGGATTATGGTTTGCTAAAAGCTCAGATGATTGCTAGCAATTTTTAGCAAGAAAACATTTTAAATTAAGGCATGTACATTTTTTAGACATAATGCTATTACACACTTAATAGACTACAGTATAGTTTAAACTTAACTTTTATATGCACTGAGAAATGAAAAATTTGTGGTATTTGCTTTATTGTAGTGGTACGGAACCAAGCCCACAATATCTCCAAGGTGTGCCTGTGTTGTGCACTGTGCATAATTATATGTGCTATACTTTTATACGACTGACAGTGCAGTGGGTTTGTTTACAGAAGCATCTGCACAGACACAGGATAACTGTATTTTTAACTAGCTGGGTCAGAAGGGAGATGCAATCTGTTGTCATGTAATACCCAAATTCATGTGATTTTGCCTCAGACTCATTGAATCATGGGACTGAAATGTTTGAAGATCAGAGTCCAAATACTCACTCCTAGCAAAATGCACGCCAATTGGTTGTCTAGGTTGGCTACACTGTGTCTGGATATGTTTAGTGAGAATAAATTGGTAATTTCCAGAGACAAATCATTTCTTCTTTTCATAGGTTAGCCTAATATAAATTTTGTCCTGATTGAATGTTCAAAGCACCAGTTTCAAAACAATTAGGTTAACCTGGAGCAGTGGTTTGATAAAATTATAATACAGTCTACATGTATTTAACTATCAAGTAATTTAAATGAGTTTCGAGCAGACTGAAATATCAATCTAAAATATTCAGATTTTTAGCAATCCATTCTAATGAAGAGTGACTTTCTAAAATTGTTTGTTTTTAAGACAATCTTCCCAAGGCTTTCTACCAATAAAGGGCCAACAAACAAAAAGCTCAAAGTAAACCTGGCAAGGCTATCAAAGAACAAGAGAGAGCACTGGGTGCCAGCATGGAGAGTGGGGACCCCACCTGAGCCCCGCCTCTCTCAAGCTGGCTGGTCAGCCCCTCACTCAGTGGGATGAGCAGTGGGCACTGTCCACCCTGGAGTGAGGATAAGTGTCTCATGAGAAAGGGCCTCTTCCTTCCAAGAGCCTCACAGTTAGAGAACTTTCATAAAAGGAAACTCCACACACCCAGGTGAAGCAATGCATAGACTGAGTGTATAAAGAAAAGAGTGTATAGGAAATGAAGGTTGTCATTTCCTGCGGCAGCCATTGGCCTCCAGACAGCACATCTTTCCTCCCAAGATCCAGCTCTACTCGCAAGCCCACTGGACCCCACACTCGTGGCCCCCATCTGGCATAGGAGGAAGCCTATTTGCCACCGAGGTATAGACAGAGCTGTCTCCTAAACTGGGCAAAGTAAAACCCGAGGAGCAAATCCAGCCCCCTCACTTTTTCAGCTAAGAATGATTTTACAGATGAACATTGGCAATTGATTTGATGATTAAAAACACTAACTTTGAACCTCGACTAAACGAAGGTTATGCTGCAAAAGAAAGACAGTTTTTTCATGAGCAGTAGAGCGAAAACATTGTACTCAATCCTTGTTCTTGTATTTTTAATTTCATCAAAATCTGTGGAAATGTGTTTTTTCTTTTGTTATATAAATACCAGCATAATGTCTACAACTTTGCCATTTGGCCTGCAAAATCTGAAATATTTACTCTGCCCTTTACAGAACAAAGCTTGTGGCCCCCCAGTCTAAGCAGCATCTGGTCACTCAGCAATATAAGGATCAGTTGACCAGATGCAGAGGAGATTAGTTAGAAGGGAATGAGATGGAGCAAAACAGTGCATGCCTTAATTGCTTATAACAAAAGCATAAGTGAATGCCATTACTGTGATTGGAATTTATCCAGGACGTTAGGATCAACTCAAAATGCCACGAGCTCTTTCATGTCCCTGAGTGCTCTGTTCTTTACTTTTATATCCTTTCCAAAAGACAGAGCTCCTCCATGCCAGGTTATTGGCTGGATATGACAATAGTAAATCTCCCGTGACACTTCCAGCAGCATAAGAAGACAGTTCTCAGAAATGACCGATAATTGACCCTGTGCGACCTGCCTGAGCGTGTGAGGTCTCACTGGCTCTAACATTAAGTATAGAATTATTTCCCAATAGATACTTTGCATGTAATGCTATTCAACTATTCAGAAAATGAACAAAATAGAGTCAAGGAAGAGAATAGACTCCTTTTTATCTCCCAGTGATAAATGAAATTGAGTTTTGACCAGTTGATGGAAAAATTACCTCTTATTTCTAAAATCAATGATGACATAATTAGATTTAGCAAATGGATTTTTTTTAAAAGTGGGGGAAAAAAAGCCCTTTAAAGTCACCAGTTCTATCTTCTATAGTTAAGCTAGGAGATTTCCCTGATCTGAATTTTCCAGGGTTTTATTCGGTTTTATAAAAGAGTTTAACTTTGTTTTATCGGTATTGCTGCAAAACAAATCACCACAAAATAAATGACCACTTAAAGCAATGGCGATTCCGTATTTCTCAGGCGTCCTTGGGTTGACCGGTTCTTGTGGCTTCAGTCAGCTGGTGGCTGGGCCGGGGCTGGGTGGTTGAGCGGGGTTGCTCTCACACCGGTGGAGCCTTAGCAGGGTGGGCCCGGGAGGCTGAGCCTCTCTCCTTACACATGGGATTTTATTGCAGCTTCCACCCAGTGTGCGAGAGGCTTTTCAAGAGCAGAGGCTGCAGGATATCTTGGAAGCAGAGGTTGGGAGTCACTCGGTGTCATTTCTGCTACATTGTGTTGGTCAAAGCTGGTCACAGGGCCAGCAAAGAATCAAGGGGTAGATGAACAGACTCTACATTCTACTGAGAGAAGCTTCAAATAACGTGTGGCCATTTATAACCTCTCACACTTTTATTCTAATTCATTATGATCACGGATCCTGAGATAGTAGGTAATACTCTATAAAAAAGCCGACAGTTCCTTGAAGGACTTGCACGATGCTAATGCAAGCAACTAAGTGGCTTTAGCAGGAAAAGCATCAGAAATAAGACAGAAAACACCATCTTCTATTTAACAAAATTATGGAACAGATTCTTTTAGAATTCTATATGCAATTTGCTCCATTTGCTCAACTTGCTGTGGAAAGAGTTTTATATTGGAAGGCCAAAGACTCCCCTTCCCAGATCTGCTATTTGCTAGCTGTGCAATACTGGGTTAATTAACTAAACCCTCTTGCCTTTGTTTTTCTCTTCTTTGAAACAGGAATGAGACTAGTGCCTATGTCATAGAGCTCCCGGAGGACAAAGGGAGGCAATAGATATGTTGTGTCCAGCATAGTGCTTGTCACAGAATAGATCCACACTAAATATTAATCATAATTATTCTCATGTTTCTGTTATCACCGTTGATTTGTTGGTACAACTAGCTAAATCAGAAAATCAAGGCTCTTAAATGCCATGATCTTAGAATTTACTTATTCCAGTCTGCTTGATTTTTAAATCTGGCTTTACAATGGTTCTGTTGAGTAGCTGGATAGGCTAGGTTACAGGGAGCAGAGAGAAAGACGAACAGCCACAAAATACAGCAAAGTTTGTTTTTTACTCATTAAACATCCAGTGGGGGTGCAGGCAGCTTTCCAAGGCAGCTGCAGTCCATGTAGTGACTCAGAGATCCCGGGTGCACTGGCGGCCTAGACCTACTCAATTAACACAAGCCCTCCTTGGTTGATAGGCCATGGGCAGAGAGAGCAGAGAATCACCAGGTTTTACACTGCTTCAGCCTGGAAGTAACACCATCATCTCAGCTCACATTTCATTGCCTGCAGATAATCTTATGACCCATGTAAGGGTGGGATGGTGGAAAGTATGACTGGGAAAGTGTTCCCAGGGAGGAAAAAGTGAGCTGGATTTAGTGAACACAGGGCACGCTCTCCTTCATACTAGTGATTCAGCCTGTGCTTTGTCCCACAGTTTCCTGAATTTACTCTTCTCATTGTCGACAGTTCTGAATGGCAGCCAGTTCTGCTTCATATGGCACATTGGTCTGCAGCATTTCCCTTTGGGGTTATACAGGACGACACTATTCTGTCTTCCATATGAGGTATTCTGGAATGTAAGGAAGACAGAAGGATGTGACAGCCCAGTCGATCGGTGTATTAGTCCATTTTCATGCCGCTAATAAAGGCATACCTGAGACTGGGAAGAAAAAGAGGTTTTAATAGACTTACGGGTCCATGTGGCTGGGGAGGCCATGTAATCGTGGTGGAAGGTGAAAGGCATGTCTTACATGGCGTCAGACCACAGAAGAGAGCTTGCGCAGGGAAACTTCCATTTTTAAAACCATCAGCTCTCGTGAGATTTATTCACTATCAGGAGAATAGCAAGGGAAATACCTGCCCCTGTGATTCAATTACTTCCCACCAGGTGCCTCCCACACATGTGGGAATTCAAGATGAGATTTGGATGGGGACACAGCTAAACCACATCATTGCACCCCTGGTCCCTCCAAAATCTCATGTTCTCACATTTCAAAACCAATCATGCCTTCCCAACAGTCCTCCAAAGTCTTAACTCATTTCAGCATTAACTTAAAAGTCCACAGTCCAAAGTCCCATCCAAGACAAGGAAAATCCCTTCCTCCTATAACCTGTAAAATCAAAAGCAAGTTAGTTACATCCTAGATACAATGGGGGTACAGGCATTAGGTAAATACAGCCATTCCAAATGGGAGAAATTGGCCAATACAAAGGGGCTACAGGCCACATGTAAGTCCAAAATCCAGAGAGGCAGTTAAATCTTAGAGCTCTAAAATGATCTCCTTTGACTCCATGTCTCACATCAGGTCACACTGATGTAAGACATGGGTTCCCATGGTCTTGCATAGCTCTGACCCTGTGGCTTTCCATGGGCTGGTGTTGAGTGCCTGCAACTTTTCCAGGCTCATGGAGCAAACTGTTGGTGGATCTACCATTCTGGGCTCTGGAGGACAGTGGCCCTCTTCTCACAGCTCCACTAGGCGGTACCCCAGTAGGGAGTCTGTGTGGGGATGCCAACCCCACATTTCCCTTCCACACTACCCTAGCAGAGGTTCTCTATGAGGGCCCTTCCCCTGCAGCAAACTTCTGTCAGGACATCCAGGTGTTTTCACACATCTTCTGAAATCTAGATGGAGGTTCCCAAACCTCAATTCTTTACTTATGTGCATTTGCTGGCTCAACACCATGTGGAAGCTGCCAAGGCTTGAGGCTTGCACCTTCTGAAGCCATGGCCTGAGCTCTACATTGGCCCCCTTTCAGCCATGGCTGGAGCAGCTAGGACAGAGGGCACCAAGTCTCTAGGCTGCTCACAGCACAGGGACCCTAGGTCTGGCCCACAAAACCTCATTTTCCTCCTAGGACTCCCAGTCCGTGATGGGAGGGGCTGCCATGAAGACCTCTGATATGCCCTGGAGACATTTTCCCCATTTTCTTTGGGAATAACATTTGGCTCCTCATTATTTATGCAAATTTTTGCAGCAGGCTTGGATTTCTCCTCAGAAAATGGGATTTTCTTTTCTATTGCATTGTCATGCTGCAAATTTTCCAAACTTTTATACTCTACTTTCCTTATAAAACTGAATGCCTTTAACAGCACCCAAGTCACCTCTTGAATATTTTGCTGCTTAGAAATGTATTCTGCCAGATTCCTTAAATCATCTCTCTCAAGTTTAAAGTTACACAAATCTCTAGAGCAGGGGAAAAATGCCACCAGTCTCTTTGCTAAAACATAACAAGAGTCACCTTTGCTCCAGTTCCCAACAAGTTCCTCATCTCCATCTAAGACCACCTCAGCCTGGATTTCATGTTCCATATCATTATCAGCATTTTGGTCAAAGCCATTCAACAAGTCTTTAGAAAGTTCCAAACTTTCCCACATTTTCCTGTCTTATTCTGAGCCCTCCAAAATGTTCCAGCCTCTGCCAGTTACCCAGTTCCAAAGTCGCTTCCACATTTTTGGGTATCTTTTCAGCAGTGCCCCACTCTACTGGTACCTATTTACTGTATTAGTCCATTTTCATGTTGCTGATAAGGACATACCTGAGACTGGGAAGAAAAAGAGGTTTTAATGGACTTACAGTTCCACATGGCTGGGGAGGCCTCACAATCATGGAAGAAGGTGAAAGGCACATTTTACATGGGAGCTGACAGGAGAAGAGAGCTTGTGCAGGGAAACTCCCATTTTTAAAACCACCAGATCTCATGAGACTTATTCACAGCACAGGAACAACCTGCTCCCATGATTCAATTATCTCCCACCAGGTCCCTCCAACAACACATGGGAATTCAAGATGAGATTTGGGTGGGGATGCAGCCAAACCATATCAGTCGGTGATGTATAACATGGCTTACAGGAATCACCATCTGGTCTACAGCAGCCATGGTGCCCACCTCGCTCCAAGTCTTCTTTTCCATAATTTAACCCTCATTTATGACTTCAACTATTGTGAGAGCTCAAGCCAAATATCATAAAAGAAGTATGGATCTCATTACTTTCCTCAAAGGGAGTGTTAAGTTCTAAGTTCTACTCACTATCTGTTGCTACATAACAAAGAACCTCAAATTTAGCAGCTTACAAGGACATCCATTTATTAGCTCACTGTTCTGTAGGTTGAAAATCCAGATAGACTCATCTGCATTCTCTGCTTAGGGTCTCACAAGCCCCAAGTTAAGGTGCCAGCTGGGCTGACCTTTTATCTGGAGGCTCTGAGGGAGATGCTGCTTCCAAGCTCATCCAGGTGGTTGGAAGGATCCAAGTCCTTGCTGCTGTGGGACTGTCTCATTTCTTTGGTGGCTGTTGGTCAAGGCCACCTCTGCTGCTACAGACTGCCACATTTCTTTACTCAAGGTCACCTGTGTGTGTTGCCTCCTTCTCATGATTTCAATCCCGTCAGCCTCTACTTCCACCTCCAGCTGAATAAACTCTGCTGTGAAAGGGCTCACCTGATGGCATGGATCAGGCCCACCGGGATCTTCTGCACATCCACCCTTCACAGCAGTGCCCACAGCAGTGTGTCCTTGAATAGCCAGGGGTCAGGGCCTTTGGGACCATCTTTAAAATTCTCACTGCCACTTATGCTAACTATCCTATATCTTAACTTCATAATAACAGTAGCTAGTACTTACATTGTGCTTACAATGAGCCAGGCACCATTCACAGGAACTCCATGAAGTGAGCTCTGTGTTTCTCATTTGATTAATGAGGAAACTGTTGCACAGTGGAGTCCGGTTTTTGGCTCAGATCAGACAGCGTCATGTTGCGGAGCAGTCTGGCTCCGCCTCTGTCTTCCTGCCCACACCACACGGGGCTCCTCTCCACTGAGCTCTGGGCACAGCCTGTGTGCTGACGCCGGGGGAATCCACCTTAGCTTTTCTCTACACCATACTCTCTCTAAACCCGCCTTCCATCTGGATGGGGCCACGGGACAATCAAGATGCAGAAAGGCGTTAGCAGGTGATTGGGTGGTTTCATTCTAACTGGCAGAAGGTGGTGGGAATAGAACAGACTCAATAGATGAAGGATAGGTTTGTCTTCTTGCTTTTTAAATTTTAATTAATGTAATTAGTTTATTTATTTATTTTGAGATGGAGTCTTAGTCTGTCACCCAGGCTGGAGTGCAGCGACATAATCTTGGCTCACTGCAACCTCCACCTCCCAGGTTCAAGCAATTTTCCTGCCTCAGCCTCCTGAGCAGCTGGGATTACAGGGGTGCACCACCATGCCTGTCTAATTTTTGTATTTTTAGTAGGGTTTCACCCTGTTGGCCAAGCTGATCTCAAACTCCTGACCTCAAGTGATCTGCTCACTTCACCCAGCCAAGAATTTCTTGCTCTTTTTAAATGTGAGAACAATTAAAATAGTACAATCAATGGAAAGATGATGGATAGATGACAGACAGACAAACATGGATGAGAGTTACTGAACATTTCTTCTCTTGTATTTTTCTGAGTCACTCTGAAAATGGAGAAGAGTCAGTGCCAGGGAAGCACTGGGACAAGAGCCTATAAGAGCATGCTCCCTTTGGCCTTGTGTTTGCTGGAGTCTGTGAGACCCATAGCAAATCCCACTGGGAATTAACTTGTACTAATGTCGTGATGCTTTCCAGAAAGCAATGCTTCAGCCCACGAAGCTGATGAAACAAGAAAGGATTACCTTTTCTCTCAGGCTCCTTTCCTGGTTAAAAATAGAAGTGATGTCAGGAGGCCAGGAAGGAACGCTGAGGAGAGAGCCCAGCGTTTTTTGGTTTTGGTTTTTTTTTTCTTGGACACTCAAATCCACGATACCAGGCTGAGCAAACCAATAATCAAAACAAATGTGGACATGAGGCATCTTGAAGGGAAACATATGCTCTCAGGCCCTGCTTTGGTTGGATTCCGCTATTCCATTAACTGTGCTGCTGTTAATGTTAAGCTGATATAGCTATAATCCTCCTTAAATAGCGTCCTGGAGGCGTCCTGAATCCACAGGCACGCTGAAGGTGCAGTGCTGTCACACATCTGTGCATTTAGGACGTTCACGCAATGAGTCATTTATGAAAAGCCAGTGGATTTGTGAACAAAGAAAGTTCTCATTAAATCTTCACTTTGCTGCTCTGTAGCTGATGGTCAATGCACACTCCTGCTTTTCATCTCATCTATTTTTACTAGGCTTTTGTTGCTTTTATTTGCATTTAACTGAACCCAGAAACTTGACAGCTTGTGACTTAATAAAATAGATTTGGAAACAAGACTTAAATCCATTTCTCTCTCTCTCCTTAAGTTCTAGGACACTTGAAAATGTGCTTATAAAAATGATCATTTGGCTTGGTATTTTGGTCCGCTCCTAGTAAAAAAGTGAATTAATCTTAATAATTGCAAAGAAATCATATATGGAGCAGTCCTCGGAAGAGCAATTACTCAAGGACAGTGGTTTTCATTAAAAAGTTAACATTTATCTTATTACAGTAATTACCTTATTGCAGTAAATTGGTGATATTTTCCTGCTCCTTCAATGAGATAGCATAGTAAGATAGGTTCACTGCAGTAAGACGCTTTGGAACTTATTAACGAGAATCATGCCAATTTTTTTAAACTTGATTTTAAAAGGCAAAAACACACTTTATTTTTTCTGTATGTAACAATGTTAAGTTATAAAACTGTCATCAGACATTACCTGTCTTCTAAATGACTATCCTTTGAGATATGACCATACCAGTTGTATTTGTTATCAGGTGAAATATTTTCTGGTTTTGACTTCTTACTTTAGGAAAGAAATATCACCTTAAGTGACAGATTTTGTGCCCATCTGCAAAGGCTCACTGAGTTCTAAGATATCTCAGAAATTGCCAAATTCAATGTTACTTATTTTCATGACAAGGCATCTGAAACACAAAGATGTTAATGCACTTATTTAAAATTCCATGGTGAGATCATGGTGAAGTGAAGAGTGGAATCTGTGTCTCCTGGCTCTTAGCGTTCTTTCAATGTGTCCCATTAATAATGTGTGTGTGTGTGTGTGTAAAACACCTCTATGTTTGTGGCTAAAATAACCACATGGGGGCTGGAAGGGCTTTGATTTCCAGTCTCAAATCATCCCTAAGAGACCACAGTGCATTTTAGCTGGCTCTCCTTGTCTCATTCGCTATGTGACAAATTTGTACAAAGGTTGTTTGCCCGATTGGTCCAGCCCGTCTGCATCCCTGGTCCTGAGGCTGCGTACACTGCGTTGCCTGTGACTCTCTCTCGCCATGAAAGGCCTTCCCGTGTGTGCTCACCTCCACACCAGTGACTCAGCTGCAGTCTTTTTACCTCATCATTGGAGGTGCAGATTTGCACTTAATAACAAGTCTACTTCCTAGTTGATGCTGGTAAGATGTTCGAGACACCCTCAGTGAAGACTGGAAGGTGTCACCAAATTCCAAGGCATGCACCTATGCAACAACGCTGGGTAAATAAAGCAGAATGTCTTTGAGGAACTCCATTCTAGCATCAGTGCTGAGTCTTCCTTGTATGATTCATCTCCAGAGGAGCAATAAATCTTAGCTCCTTCATGACGCTATTCTAGCAAGATGAAACTCCATGCATTTCCTCAGGTGGGTAATATCAGCATCGATGACATAAGTGTCTTCTCTCCATTAGGCCAAGGTGGTCCACTGGTCTACTTGCTCAGAAGCTCCTCATGGGGATGTAGAAAGTCATCTTTCAAGATTGCCAGGCACATGTTCTCATCAGGCTCCTTGACTGCTTTAACAGGATCCTAATTCTCCTCCCAGTGAAGCTGACTAGTAAAGCATGTGGCTGTGCCCTTATCAGCCACACAGAGTAATCACATATTAGGTATTGCCCAAGAAGCATAACTTCAAACTCGTTGCTGCTACGGGCTCACCAAGAGCCTGGTCTGAAAGACATGTCATCCAAACTTTTTGGTACTTTAAAATCTACCTCTGGATTAATTAGACCAGCAGGGACCCACATACCCCGACCTCATTTTTTTCTGCCCCTGTAGAATTGCTTTAACTGAATAACAAGTTGATGTTTTGTCTTCAGATAGCCCTCATCACAGGATGAGACTCGGTGCATTTCCTTAGGCAGGTAATAGCAGCATCTATGACAAATGTGTCTTCTTGCTGTTAGGCCAAGGTGGTCTATCTGCCCTACCTGCTCAGATGCTCCTCATGGGGATGTAGAAAGCCATCTTCCCAGAAAGAATATTCTAAGAAATGTGCCCCGTAAACACATTGTAAGGTGTAATGTTAGGAAGCAACTGAGGCTCATACTGCCCAGTGTCTTTTTTTCTGTACATGCATGAAAAACAGTTCTCACTCATTGTAGTAGCAGAGATGATTATGCTTCTTACAAGCAAATATTTCTTTTTTAAAAAACACAACAAGTCATGTACGTGGTGACATTCCTTTCTTTGGATTGGCGGCCACCGCACTTACGGCCATATTTGTAGCCAACCCCAAAAGGCGCAGATATCAGGCAGGCTGCGGCACCTCATGTTACTAATTTTACTTACCCTTATTTTTCTTTCCTAGAATTTCCTCACCCACTTATTTTCTGTCATTTTGTTATGTTGTTTATGTTTTTGTAGGTTGGCTTAGATTCCTTTTGGAAGAAGGCAAATAAAAGAAGAAATAAAGTCACCACAGATAAATTCCTGCCGATGTGTTGCATGTATAGGACATTTAATGTTGGGGGAGAAAACTGCTTAATAAGCCATCTAGACATCTAGAAATATAGAACTTGAAGTGTGGCTAATTGCCACTCCTAGTGACAGTTTACATCTGGATGAGGCTGGGCGGTGATGACATGCAGGACTAATACACTGTGTTTCATATCACTGGAAATCTGCCATCTTGGAAGGCCCTTCAGGTTGACTTACACATAGCATATCTAGTTTGTGTTTTCAATGAGTCAACAAACATCAACTAACTCTTTAGGCTCTGAAAAACTTTAGCATATGATGGTCGTGGGAGAGGTTGTCTGAAAGTACCAATACCCTTGTTCTTTCACCTTACAATGAGGGTGGGCTGGGAGAAATCATCCCCTTGCTTTTAATCCAAAGCAGAACTTCAGTGCTCTGTCTGCAAGCAATAACTGGGCAAACACAGAAACCAAAGTAATGCTGTCTCCTTCACCTTCAGTCGAGCCAGGAAGTCAGGTGGGTGCAGGCAGCTGAATTCAGTCGTCCTATAGAGCCCTGTGCATCCTCGTGCCAGTAGCCCGAGCACCCACCTCATATTAGCAAGAATCAAGAAAGGGTAAAGAACTGAGTTTCTTTCGCAGAATTCCTCTCAGCATTAGCCTCGGCAGTGTGTCTTCATGACCTCCTCATGTGTGTGCTGTTATTACTTTCTTTTATTTTCTTTCTTTCTCCTTCTTTCTTTTCTCTCTTTCTTTTTTCTCTATCTTTCTTTCTTTTCTCTCTTTCTTTCTTTTTTCCCTTCCTTTCTTTTCTCTTTCTTTCTTTTCTCCCTTCTTTTCTTTTCTTTCTTTCTTTCTTTCTTTCTTTCTTTCTTTCTTTCTTTCTCTCTCTTTCTTTCTTTCTCTCTTCTTTCTTTCTCTTTCTTTCTTTCTCTCTATCTTTGTTTCTTTCTTCTTCTTCTTCTTTTTTTTTTTTGACGGAGTCTTGCACTGTCACCCCGGGTGGAGTGCAGTGAAGTGATCTCGGCTCACTGCTGGCCAGGCTGTTCTCCAATTCCTGAACTTGTGATCTGCCCACCTCGGCCTCCCAAAGTGCTGGGATTACAGGCATGAGCCACCATGTCTGGTCATGCCGTTATTATTTTCATACGTGCGGTGTGATCTGTCTTCTAAGCACCATACAGAAATAAGAATGAGGCACAGGCTTTGCCTGGCTTATTCACAGACTAAATTTGATAGATAGATAAAATCCAAAGGTGAGTAAATGATGAAAATATACTTCACCGTATTTGCCAACTGAGAAGTTGCATTGGGGAGTAACGTTCTTTTAAATTTTCAGTAAAGTAGAGAGGGAGAGGCAGACACTGTTTTCACACCAAGATTCACTTTACTGAGGGGCAGCGTTCAAAGAGAAATGTAAGACTTGCAGACAGCGGAGAAGAGCACGCAGGGCAGCGTGCCTTCTGGAAAGCCAGGGTTCAGCCAGCGACGAGACGATGCTTCAAACGGGGGGCTAGCCATGCTTCTCACCTCACCTCTTCCGTTTGCATGTTCCTCTCTTTTGTTTACCAGCTCGTAGACATTTCAGTACGCCTCTGTACCCCAGAAAGGGGAATACCAAAAAAGGAGAAGGCAAGGAAAACCTGACTCAAATTCAAGGCTGACCTGTCTTTGAGAGCCTCTTTGCTCCTTGGACTCAGTGAGGAAACACAAATCCAGTGGCTTGGTGAACATAATTCCCCAAGTCACTCACAGCTGGAAAAACCACTATTCTCTTCCTTCCCTGATGGGGTGGTGGGAAGTTTCAGGAAGGTCACGGCTAAGATGACGGGCTGACAGGCAAGCAGGTCAGCACTGGAGGATTGATTGCAAGAAGAGTTGTTCAATACTTCTCACCTGCGCACCCTCTCTTTGGTTGCTCAGCCCTTCCTCCTCCACATATATTAGGGAAGACAGAACAATACAGGGTCCAGGAAAGTTCTTACCACTCCAAGTTTAATTATTAAAAAAAAACTCAATCTATTTTAACTACTACCATTATTATTAACTTAGTTTTACCTTTGGCATTCTGGCCCTTGGAGCAATTAAGAAGCTATAATAAAGGTAGAATAAAGTATTTGAATTTGTTGAGACTTCATTGACTCCCACTTTTCCTGTCTGTCAAAGCAGCAGCGAATCTGAATGGCAACCTGACAGCTATTTTTCAAGCCGTAGATTCTCACACGTCCACCAGCCTTGGGCCTAGGATATGCTGGAAACTTGGAAGGAGGAGCACACTGTTCCATGGTGCTTATCACACCGTAAATCAGTGAGAGAAAGATCTATGTCAATTGTAGTAAAATTGCACATATCCAAGACACACAAATTGATATAAGCTTCAGAACAAGAGATGCAATAAAATGAGCCCTATTTTAAAGAATTGAGACAGGGCAAGTAAAGCTTTGAAAAGCATTTCCAAATAAAACTCATGACTAAAGCTCAGTGCCATCAGATACGTCATTGTCTTACTTCTGGTAAGTATGGGGGAAATTTTCCAGGCTGGTAGAAGTTTAAAACCACTCTAAAAGATTGATGGATTACTCTCTAACTCACATTCCTTTCCAAGCAAGGAAAGAACTATTTTTAAAAAACCACCTGACCTAGAATCTGTTTCTATTAAATGCCAATGCTCCCATATTACCACTGAGATCTTAATAGACATGATGGGACATTATATCTTGTCATGCAGGCCACTGAAAACTGTTTTTCTTATTTCTTTTGTGTTAGGAAAGAAACATTTCTAAAGAAGAGTGTTCTCTCTATAGCATCCATTACAAACAGTCCCTCAGACCTTTCAAGATCTTTCTATCTCTTCTGTTTCTTTAACCACTTTGTTCTTTCTGATACAATCTATTTGACTCTCAACATTTCAGTTTACAAAGAAACATGAATCACCAGGGGGACAGGAGAATCAAAATAACTTTTTTTCATTCCTTACATGCCTATCAAGATTGCTTTAGAGAAAGTGTAGCTATGGGATATGGCTGCAACATGGAAAACAAGTTAAGAGTGATGATTTATTTTTCAAAAACTGGGTGATTTATTTGAGCATTTTCTGTTTTCATATCTTTTATCATCTGCTAAATAATATTAGCCTCAAAATATAGTTTATGTGAAAAATACACCACATTATTATCCTAATATATCTCATCAATAAAGGAAAAGTATATTCCGCGAATTGTAATGTTTGGACTAGATGATAGAATTAATGCTGATCCTGTGGAAATTCATAATGTTTAGAAATAGTCAATGCCAGCATTGAGAATCAGTGTTCAAAGTCTGAATTTGGTGTCCTTCTTTCTCCTCTTTCTATGGCAAACCCCCCTGTGTCTCCAGACTTGTGTCTCTCGTCTTCTTGCAAGGACATCGCTCATATTGGAGTTGGGCCCACTGGAACCCAGTGTGATCTCATTTTAATTTGATTACATCTGCAAAGACCCTATTTCCAAATAAAGTCATATTCACAGGTTCCAGGTGAGCGTGAATGTGAAGGACATTATTCAACCGCATGTAGTTTGCCTCCAACCCTGTCCTTCAAAAGCTGACCTCCTCTCCTGCACAAACTCTCCTGCTTTCTGGAATTTCCCCCTGCTGTGTCCTTTTGGGGCCTGTGCTGCTCAGGAGACCAACTTTTCAGATTGCTCCTTCCTCTGCTATTCCTGAAAGTGCTTGCACTCTCAGGGACCTAAGAGTAGAAGGATCCACGGGAAGGCTGAGACCGCCACCGCGACATTCGCATGTTTGGAGAGACTGCCTCACACTCGGATGCACTAATGCAGTGCACGACATTCTCAGTGGTGAAATTTTCCACAGCTGGGGCTGTAGGAGGACTTATGTTGTGGTTTAAGAGCTTCCTACAGCCCTTGTAAACCTATGGTGGATCTTTCCAAACATAAAGATTTTTTGTTGTTGTTCTGGAGAGCTATGCAGAACTTAGAAAATGTTTGATAAAAAGAATGAGCTAAATGAGGAAGACGGGAAGACAAAGAGAGAAAATGCCAACGCTTAATTTAAAGAAGGTTAGTACAGTTTACTCTACAATTTTACTATACAATTAGGCTTTTACCTAATATGTTGGAATATCTAGCCAACTAAAGATCAGGTAAGAAATGGAAAAATACTTGCCAATTATAATCAAATCATTTTCCTCCTGTGACTAAGCTATAGACTAGTAGTTAGGCATCTTCGTAAACTACAGGGTGTCCCAAAACTGTTATCTTAATTTTTCTTCCTTTTTGCTATCTACAGGTAGCATAAACTCAGTCTTCTTGAGAGTGAGTGATTCCGATAAAGTTAATCTTTCCTTAGATGGGAAGCAAAAATAATAACATCAATAAGCATTTATGAGTTAGCATTTGCTAGCATAACAGCCCTATGAAGTGTGTATGACTATCATGCTCATTCTTTTTGATGGAAAGGTGAGGTCTACAGAGAGTAAGTAACTTGCTCAGGGGTTCACTAATAAGACACAGACCTGGGCGATGGCTCCTGTGTCCCTGCTCACAGGTTGCATGGGCTGAAGCCTGGATATGCCTTCTCTTTCCTTGACATTGTACACATTGAGAATTGACTCAGTTGCATAATATACAGATGCAAAGAATCTCAGGAAAAATCTATGCAAATTCCAGGAGGGTTAAGGAACTTGCCTAGTGTCCCATCCTGGTGGTACTAGAAGCCAGGTGTTCTGAATGGCAACACAATCCCTTATTTACCACATTTGAAAAAAATACTCATATTCACTTTCAGTGTTTTTGTACTGGCCCACCCAAAATATCTAGATCCATGACATACAAAACAATTTAGTGGGCAGAAAGCATTATGACTTTCAAAATGCCCAGACATTTAACAAACTAAGGAAAAGTAGACTATGGAAAATTTCACACAAATAGGTTCTATTAATACTTCCATATTTTCAGTAATTTATACTTCCAAAATTAGATTTTTTTGCTTTCTGGAAACCTTGGTGAATTGTCATCATAGGACCTACTTAGGGAAGTGATATTCACTCAATATGATGTTTAATAGAAGATTGCCCTATAGATCATTAATAGATAATGAATGTGAACAAATTAAAATACAATAAATTAAAATCAATGTATGTGATAATACAGAAGCCTTCCTAGGATCCTTCAGTATCTCACAGATGACAGGCAATGGGGGAATATTTTGAAACAGTAGCAGATCTCTCTCCCCAATACTTCAAGTTCTCACTTTGTCTTTCCCTTCTCCACCAGCGAGGCTGTTCTCTGAGTATTGATTTAGTTGAGGTGAAAGACCCGAGAGTCTCAAATGCCTAGGCTTTTAGCAGGAGGAAGAAAGGAGGATTGCAACTAAGACAAAAGGTTTGGAGCTTGATGTCTGTTCAAACAAAAATGGGTAGCATTTGTCTAATGCTGCTTGCCAAGACGCTTTGCAGGGATCATCTCCTTTAATGCTCACAGTAACCTTCAGGTGTAAATATTATCGTTTTCCCCATTTTTAACCGCAAGGTGACGGAGGCGGAGGGAGCATCAGTAACTTGCCCAAGGCCGCTTGTCTGCAAGGAGGACCTGGCAGCTCGGCCAGTCCATCTCCGCTGTCGGAGCCGCATTCAGCCCTTTGAACTTCTCACCTTGACCATCACATTAAGCATCTAGTTCTCTCCCTACACCAGCCCCTGTCTCTCCATTGCTTCCTCCATATTGCTAAACACTTTACGTTTCTAAAACTTATAAAATGACCATGCTCGGTGATGTCTTAAAACTCTTCTAGGAGCCTGTGAACAGCTCCGGGCTGACCTCCAGATCCTCTGCCAAGCACACAGGCCCTTCCTGATCTGTTTAACCCAACTATCCCTGCAACACAGTGGCCAGTTCTCACCCAGTAGCCACCTTCTCTTCACCCACAGTGGTGGCTGTGAAATGTGTCAACCTGCCCAGGCTCAACTGTGTAGCGCATTCCCTTTCTTCTGCGTTTCCCATGGGGTAGGAGTAGGGGCGGGGAGGGAGGTAGCTGCAGGCTGCTGCTCAGCTGTGGATCCTCCTGCGTTCTTGGGAGGCTCTGACTCCTGGGCCAGGTGGGACACAGGCACACACACATATGTATGCCCATGTACACTTGTATGTGTGTCTAGCTCTGCGGTAGAGAACTCTGGCTTCTGCAGCACCCACATAAACAGCAGAGGCAACAAGGACCCTACCGCAGCCAGTCTTGTGGTCTCCTGGCTCATGCCTGTGGGCTCCACATGCTCTTGCTGTCCCCATGAAAGCCGTATCCCCACTGCCTGCTTCGTGGACTACAGCTCAGCGTCAGCTATGCCAACAGGCTACAGATACTGCTCCACCAGCCTCCAGAATGACATATGGCCAAATCCCTATAACAACTCCTTAAAAATGTGTGTGTGTATGAGGCATCTAATAAGAATTACATACACACATGCATGTTCGTGAATGTACGTATACGTGTTTCTATGCATCAGTGTGTGCATGTTTATGTGTGTGTGTCTGTGTTTGTATGCATCTGTGTGTGTATGTCTATGTGTGCATGTCTATGTGTCTGTGTGTATGCATCTGTGTGTGTTTGTGCATCTGTGTGTATATGCATATGTGTATGTGTGTGTATGCATCTGTGTCTGTGTGTATGAGCATGGCTATGTGTCTTTGTATGGCTGTGCATCTGTGTTTCTGTGCATATGTGTATGTGTGTATGCATATCTGTGTATGTCTGTGCATATGCCTCTCTGTGTGCATGCATCTGTGTGTGTATGTATGTGTATATGTGTATGTGTGTATGCATCTCTGTGTGTGTCTGCATGTATGAACATGACTATGTGTCTGTGTCTATGCCTCTGTGCATATGTGTATGTGTGTATACATATGTGTGTATGCCTGTCCGTGTATCTGTGCATCTGTGTGTATACATATTTGTACATGCATGTATGCATCTGTGTGTATATCTGTGTGTGCACATCTATGTGTCTCTGTGTGCATGTCTGTGCATGCATGTCTATGTGTCTGTGTGTATGCATCTGTGTGCCTGTGCCTCTGTGTGTATATGCATGTGTGTATGTGTGTGTATGTATCTGCATCTGTCTATGACTATGTGTAGGCATTTCTGCTTCTCTGGATAAATGCTGCCTGGCAGACCCTCTGCTCTTTGATGCATATGCTGTTCTCTCCTTTTGTGAGATCCAGCCCACACATTCTATCCCAGGAAAATCCGAAACATTTCCCTGACACATTACAAAGACAATCACTCCCTTGTTTATGATGCCTCAGACCCTTTAAAGAACCCCATAGTATAACTTCTCGCAGCTTTCCTAAATCATTTACGGTTCAGTGTTCAATGGGTCTGAGGCCCTCAGAGATCGTGGCTTATCTATCTTGCACCAGATCTTCTGGTGCCATGCTTAACGAGCAGAAGGCAAAGTGTTCTTTGGATGAGAACAAATGCATGATGGAGGGAGGAATCAATGGGCAGATGGGTCGGTAGCTGCAGAGACGCTGAAAGCAATAGTTGAGAGTGTTGTATGGATAGATATCATGTTTTATAGTATGACGTTTATTTTTGACATCAAAAGGCTAAATCAACTCTCAAAGTTCAAACAGTTTACTCAGATTATGGAAAAGTGAGAAGTTGGTTTCTAGTTTCAAATTAATATGCTTAATTTTTTTCCAAATAACTTGTAAAAAGTTCATGACAAGCTTGGGGATGCTCAAGATTATTTCCATATCCCCCAACCCACCCTTGCTTTTTGAGGTCTTTGTTGTTTATTTATTTGGATTCAAAAACGACTTCATGTCCACCTTTGTAAGACAATTTTCTTTCCCATCAGAAGCCTACCACCCTCCCTCCATGTCCATACAGTAATCAATGACCCACGGTCATCCCAACCCACAGATCATCAGCTTTTCATCTTAGATTCACTCCACTTCTTATGTCTGAACACATTTGTGCTACAAACAAGGCTGGCTGGTTTCTGTGAGGATTTCAAAATAAATTGGATATAGTGTATCAACCACAGGCTTGCCATCTGCTGGAGAGACCACAAAACATGATTTTCAAGGCAATGCTACAGACACGTGCACCATTTTAGTTCTATCTTCCTAGAAGATAAACATTTAAGTCAGAGGTTTAAAAAGATTTTCTTTCATTTTGCACGTCAGTGTCTGGGAAGGGTTTGATGGTGGCAGGGATGGCGATGGTGACGGGGGTGACCATGGCGAGGCTGACCCTGCACTGTGCCCTGTGACACAGAGCACCTGGCAGTGTTGCCCGTCCGAGCCCTCTCTGAGCTGCTGTTTTGGTGGAAGACTGAAGGCAGGGCCTTGGTCTTTGCAGAGGGCAAACACCCGAGCAGCCTGGAAATGACTTCCCTTCCTTCCACTCCTTTCTCTGGGGGCCCGACCTCTTCCTTAGCCCTTCCTCTTATGATGGATCAATTCCTGGCCCACATTCCTGTCCTTTATTCTTGCCATTAAGACTCACTCTTCCTGTCATAGAATGACATCAGACCAGAATTATCTGGAAATCCAAACTATCACAAGAAATACACACTAATGACAATATATTTCCCTTGACTCATTTTCACTAAATGAGTTTACTAGTCTCTACCTTGATTGGCTAAAGCCATAATGCTCTATTTTACATATTTTGTTTAGTACATCTTTTATCATTATCTATGAAACTGAAACACATGAATTTAAAAACTTGAAGGAATATTTCCACTTCATATGTCTTTCTCTTTCTACGTAGGGTTTCAAATGACAGGAATTGTCTTTTATCCTTCTTTGCTTTTATTCCTAGTGCCTAATTGGATACTTGAAACATTTTGTACCCAATTGGTCTTCATTGAGTGAGAGAATGAAAGAAAATAAAATAAATAAATGGATTAACTCAACCTCTATTTTTATTTATTTGGTACATAGACCATCTTTTTATTAAACTATGAGTGTGGGAGAACTAAAAACTATGTCAACTTTTTAAACATGTAAAATTACTATTTTTTTAAAGTTTCAAGGTAGATTATGAACCATGTCCTTATTCTTGGTAAGTTTTCCCACTAGAATAAGGTGGTGATTCTCCTGCTGCCTACTGGATTCTGCGTTCTCCCTGCCCATTGTGCTGACAAGCGCCTGACAACGCTGCCGTTCATCTTCCCATTGTCCACAAACTTCCTTTCTGAAGAACAGAGGCAATGGCTGTGCCCTGCCATGACACCCCATGCAGGGGGCTTGAGAAATAGTCATTAGAAAGGGTGTTGTTCCAGGGATCAGAGGCAGGGTAGCTATGGTGTAAGCCTTTATTTGCTAAGACCTTTGCAACACCAGACACATCAATGCAGTTTGAAATGAAAGTATGGCCGAGCCATGCTTCCCCAAAGGCTCTGTGGGAGGATCCTGCCTTACCTCTTACCTTTGGGGGCTCCAGGCTTTCCTGGGCTTGTGGCCATATTGCTCCACCCTCTGGTTCTGTGATCCAATGGTGTTCTTCTCTGTTTCTCCTTTCTTCTTCTTTTTTTTTTTCTTCTTTTCTATTTCTTCTAAGGACACTTATCATTGGATTTAGCCCCCACCTGGATCATCCGGGATGATCTTATCGCAAAATGCTCAATCACATCTGTGAAAACCACTTTTCCACATCAGGTCATGTTCCGAGGTTCTGGATGTCGGGATGTGGGTCTGTCTTTGGGGGTCCCGTCCGATGTTTCATGCGTGCTAGTGCTTCTTCCTCTCTCCACGTTTCAGTTTTCTCTTCAGTAAACTGGGACGAATGCATGCCTTATCTACCACAGGGGTGTTCACGGAGCCAACTTGGGTGCTGTATGAGAAAGCCCTGCAACGTTCAATGCAATTCAAATGTACCAAAACCCATAAGTCACTAAAATCAGACAAAAGCTTCTAGATGCCATATTTTCCCTCGGCTACAGTCCTGTTTCTCCACTCCCCTCCTGAACTCACCTCCTCAAGAGATTTCCACACACGAGAACTCCACCGCTCCCCTCCCCATGACCCCTCAGCCTTCTGCAGTTTGGGGCATCCCTCCCCAGCTCTCAACACCAGTCAAAGACTTATGAAGGCCGTAGATGAATCCTGTGCTCCACTCTGAGAAGCCCCACCTCTGACTCATTACCCTGGGCCTTTCCTCTGCATTTCATACCGTTGGCCTTTTTACTTGAAAAACTCCTTGAGATTTTCTTACTTTATGTTATTTGGGTTTTTTGAGATGGAGTCTCACTCTGTCACCCAGGCTGGTGTGCAGTGGCAAGACCTTGGCTCACTGCAGCCTCTGTCTCCTGGGTTCAAGCGATTCTCTTGCCTTGACTTCCTGAGTAGCTGGGATTACAGGTGCCCATGACCATACCTGGCTAATTTTTGTATTTTTAGTATAGACAGGGTTTCAACATGTTGGCCAGGCTGGCCTCAAACTCCTGACCTCAAGTGATCCTCCCGCCTTGGCCTCCCAAAATGCTGGGATTACAGGCATGAGCCACTGCGCCTGGCCAAGATTTTCTCATTCTCTTCTTCCTTGCTACTCTGTTTTTGGACTCTTCCTCTTCAGCCTGATATCCACATTTTAGAGTTTCTGAGATTTAGGTCTTGGGACCTGTGTTCTTACTCTATGCGCTTGCCTGTTTGTGTGTGCTCTCTCTCTCTTAGGATTTTTTTTTTAACTGGGTTTTAAGCATCGTCCATATGCTGATGGCTCTGCCATGATGATCTTTCACAAACCTTCCCTCTAAGCTTCAGACTTATTCATCCCATTGTCTATTTGACATCTGTACTTGGAGTTTGCAGAAACATCTCAAATATAGCACTTCCCAAAAGGAGAGCATGATCCCTGCCCTCCTCTCTCACAGGCACACATGCATAAACACATGTGCATACACGTGCTGTGCCTCCGTAACCTCTGTGCGTGCTGTGCCCCCCACCTCAGCCAGGCTCAGGCTCTCTCATCTCCGTGGTGTGTCATCCGACCCAGACTCAGACAGGAATCTTGGTGTCATCTTCAACTCCTCCTTCTTTTTGACAAGTCTTGTCTAGGGCTTCCTCTCTCTCTCCCTGATGGCTGCGTTGCCACCTTCATTGTTCCTGCAAATTCCACTCTTGGCCCCTTTCAAGCTGCTCTTCATTCAGCAGCCAGACCCCATCAGAACAGGGGATGCACTGTTTATTTATTTATTTACTTATTTATTTATCTGAGACAGTGTTTCACTCTGTCGCCCAGCCTGGAGTGCAGTGGCATGCTCACTGCAACCTCTGCCTCCCGGATTCAAGCAATTCTCCTGCCTCAGCCTCCTGAGTAGTGGAATTACAGGTGCACGCTACCAGACCTGGCTAATTTTTGTATTTTTAGTAGAGGTGGGGTTTTGCCATGTTGGCTAGGCTGGTCTTGAACTCCTGGCCTCAAGTGATCCACCCACTTCGACGTCCCAAAGTGCTTGGGATTCCAGGTGTGAGCCACCACCCCCAGCTGGGATTTGCTATTTAAATCCTTTGGTGACTTCCACACTCCGGAACGTGACCCATAGGCCTTGTCAGGCTCTCCCCAAGGTCCTGCCTGGCCATCCCTGCCATAACCAAACTGGATTCCCACTTCCTCAGGCATCCCCACCTGACGTCTTCTTCAGTCTCCCGGCGTCTCTTTGACCTGAGAGGAACTTTCTCTGATGAGTGAAGAAAGTGTCCTTCTTTCTGACTTAACCCCATTTCTCCATTCTGTCCTTTTCATGGTGTTATTAGCATTGGAGATCATTGACTCGCAGGTTGGTTACTTGCTCATGGTTGGACTCCTTGATTGCAGGGGGTGGGTCCTTATTTGCTGATGAATTGGGCAGTAGAGTCAGACTCGGAGCTGGTGCTCACCACGTATCTTTGAATGGATGTGGAATCAACAAATGAGAGAAAAATTCACCTTCTCTACAGGGAGCTGACCTGTTGACATGAAAATGTCCTGAAGGCCTAGATGACCCTGCTTGTGTCATTTGAGAGGAGACGACCAAACAAAGCCTGGTGTCCTATTTGTGATAGGTGACATGGGAGAGGAGATGGGGTCTAGATTGAGAGGTAGATTCAGGAAAGGGACAGACATTAGGAGGTCAGACCCACTTTCTGGTGTTGGAGAAACGTCTGGTCCTGCAGCCAAATGGGGCACCAGGGGAGTCAAGGAGTAGCCAGCAGGGGCCAGACCAGGGGCTAGTGGCAGAGATCAGCAGGTAGGGAGCGTGGCTGACCAGGCAGGGGGCCCCAGCTGGGAGGGGAGGATTGCTGACCGCATTCTAAGACAGGCGCCAGGGGAGGAACCTGGTAACCATCTAGGCTGGCAAGAGAGTGAAGACTGAGATCCAGAATTTCAGCCTGGAAATATGATTCCCTAGCTTATTTGGTCAGGGATTGGTTAGTAATTTGGTTAGTAATTATAATCATGAGATGCAGTGGCTCACTTTAAATTAATCAATTATTTGCCTCATCTGGGCACTTTTCACCTATATCTGATTTCACCATTTCATACCTTCTGACCAGAAAGATTGACCACAGCTTCAAAGGAAGCAGTCCCCTTTTTTTTTTGCCCTAGGGAGCTATGCCAAAGGAAAAAAAAATTCTGCAAAATCAATTTTCAATTTCTTTTTCACCAAACAATTTTAAGTGATTGAGAATTTGGTGATGCATTCTTCCTGGAGAGTCAAACAATGTGTTTTTGAGGCTTAAAAATAAGAAGCTCTTAAAAATGGACACCATATTTCAGTTGTGGAGAGTATCTAATAAGCATGAACTGAAGATGTTTTTCACAATATTTTTATCTTTATCTTGAATGACAGTGATAGCATGTCCAAAGAAAGTGCAAAAGTGGTGGAGTGTCAGGGGAAGTCTTTTTTTGCCCGTGGAAGTGTCTCATGTGCTTGCATTAGAACTGTTATGATGTCAATGCAAATGTGAATGCCATTACAATGTCAGTGTGAGATTTCTCCCCTTGCTTTTGTCAGTTTCAATTAGATGCTTGATGTTACCATAATGCAGTTTCTTCCCCTCCCCCACACTTAATGTACTTAAATTCTGAAAGTTACCACTTTTAAGAACCGTGCTCTATTTCCTAATGGCACTGCACAATGAACCCATATTAAAAAGTAATACATTTTCCATATAGAAAGGAATATAAAGTAAGTTCCATAAAAGTACAACACACTTAGATTTTAAAGTATATAACATTAAATATATTAAAAGCACATTGTGTCATACTATATATATTAAATACCATGAAAAAAGCCGGCTTTGCAATTTATTTTAAGTACATGAGAACTGCATTTAATAAAATGTTTAAAATATAATTTATTACTGTAACAATTTATTAATAATGATAACTAAATGCTATTGAAGAGGTTATTCATGAAAAAATGGTTTGTCAGAAGAAAAGACTTTCCCATTCTAAAGATAAGGGCAATAGTCAGGAAGGCATACATTTTGCCCTTCTTGGTAATTTAACAATTCTAGAAGAAGCAAGCACATTAAAAACCTTTCCCATAACTGTTATTCTTTTTTTTTTTTTTTTTTTTTTTTTGAGACGGAGTCTCGCTCTGTCGCCCAGGCCGGACTGCGGACTGCAGTGGCGCAATCTCGGCTCACTGCAAGCTCCGCTTCCCGGGTTCACGCCATTCTCCTGCCTCAGCCTCCCGAGTAGCTGGGACTACAGGCGCCCGCCACCGCGCCCGGCTAATTTTTTGTATTTTTAGTAGAGACGGGGTTTCACCTTGTTAGCCAGGATGGTCTCGATCTCCTGACCTCATGATCCACTCGCCTCGGCCTCCCAAAGTGCTGGGATTACAGGCGTGAGCCACCGCGCCCGGCCTAACTGTTATTCTTTAAAACACTGACATTGGTGGAATCTTATTCTGTACATAAATGGATCATTTGCTGTACTGAGTTCCCCTTTGCCTACACAGAGTGGTGCAGATAATGTCACTTGCCTTTATTGTGAGCGGCACCTCCTGATTTAAATGATAGTCAGTTTGTGTTGAAGTCAACGTATAAATATTTTACATATTGCATAACATAAACATCATTATATTTCCTCCTCTGGGAGAGTTGGTACGTGTGGAATATTTGTCAGTGCCTGAAGCTCAAAGCCATGGTAAGATGTCAGATCTGGAATATATCACTTTGAGCTTTGCATCTCGTGTATTTATTTCACTGGTCTATATAAGGTGCCATAAAATGTGCATGCCTTACCCAGAAGCTGACTTGTGCCAGACAAACAACAGATCCGAGCTCCAAAGGCGGACAAATGTTAGATGTGTTAGAAGGGATCAAAAAACCTAAGAAGTATTTATTGATAGTTAATATGCCTACACTATTTTGAGAAACTGATGTTTAAAACCGAGAGGAAGCTCACGAGGGGTGTTTTGCCTCAATAAATTGTAACCCACCAGAGCATTCTGGAAGAGAAAAAGGGTTATCATGTGAACTTCTTCTCTGATTACCGCCTTTGTCTGTTGAGCAGGGTTCTTTGGAGCAGTTCACCTTACCTGCCTCTCCCCTAACGTGTTTCACAGCATTTGGTGGTCAAGCTTGAATGATTGCTCACACCTCAGCAGAGGTGTGAATGAGATGTGAATGGGAAACGTTAGTATTCTTGCATTATTATTTTCCCATACAACTGTCAACGATCCCAGGTGTTGAGGGTAGAGTGGGAATGGAAAAAATATATAAGAATTGATAAATGAATTAAAATATTTAGGACTGCCTGATTAGTAATCTGTTTGTGTTTAGGTTTGGATGGGTGGTGTCTTCCAAATGGACACATGGCCATTACTAGTTAAGCAGAGTCTGCTTTTTGGAAAGAGCACCAACAGCATGGTCCTCAAAACCTATCATTAATATTTTAGAATTGTGAACTCTGGGGTCTAAATCTTCAAAAGGTGGAGCTTTGCTTCCACAGAAGCTGATAAGGTCGTCTCTGACACCTCCTCTGTTCTTGGCAGTCAAAGAGGGACCCAGGTAAGAACTTTGCATCCAAATGATAGATGTTCACTGTAGACCTGGTTAGTTTGAGCACCAGAGGGGCAGCTTAGCATAAAAAGAAGATATAAGAAGTAGAGCACTAGCAAAGTTCTCATTTGTGGGTCTTTTCACTCTTCTTCAAATGTCTATCAACTGATGAATGCATAAATGAAATGTGATACATTGATACAATAGAATATTAATTGGCAATATAAAAGAATGAAGTACACCCTACAAGAAACCACATACCGTATGGCTCCAAATCTATAGAAACAGAAAGTTGGTTAGTGGTTCCCTAGGGATGGGAATAGGAGTGGTTCAGGGCTGGAGACTGGGAGGACCATAGCTTAGGAATACAGTATCGTGAAGATATTCTACAATTGCGATGATGGATGCACAAGAACGTGGCTACACTAAAAGCTAAAAGCACTTTACATAAGTGGTCTGCAGATTATATCTCAATAAAGCTGTTTTTTTCAAGATAAGTTCAGAAAATAAAACTATAGCAGTTAGAACCAAGGTAACTCAAACTGCCTTAAGTAAAAAAAAAAATACATAATTTTTTCAAAAAACTTGTATTGTTCAATCTAATTGGAAAGCTAAGGGACAGGGTTGGCTCCAGGCACACCCGAACTCAGAATCTAAACACCAAGATCCTTTCATGCTCCAACTCACAGCTCTGCTGTCCTCCAAAATGGCTCTACATGGTGGTGCCTGGGAGCTGTAGGCTCCCCAGAGCAACTCCACAGCTAACCTCCTTTCCATTTCAGATCTACCAGGGAAAAGCAAAAGTTACTCTCTATAGAGACTCAGAAAATATCACAGGAGTGAGAGTTCAGGCAGAAAGGGATTCCCAGAAGGAAATAAGGTAGCAGTATGGTATTTAGACGTTACATAAAACATTTAAGAGATAAGTTATAGATGGATGGGCAGACAGATGGATGGCGGGATTGATGGGTACACACAGCAAATACTGCAAAGAAATTTTTCAACCAATCAGCTGTTTATTCTTATGCCTGCAAAATATAATTTTAATTATCATACATTTTAAATATGTGTTTCACATCATACATTTCCTGTCAGTATACTCGTTTTCCAAACTGTTTTTGTTCTTATAGATTGTAAAAGAGGTGCACAATCTATTATACATCATTTAAGTAAAAACTAGTCTGGGAAACTAATAATTCAAGATCAGAAGAAATTTCCACAAACTATAATAAATACTTATCTTTCTATAGGATACTTTTATGAGAACATAAACTCAATAAAGCAAGAGATCACGCTTCTAAGATAAAACAACAAAATCGAATTTAAAAGGAATATTATGAAACTAAGGAAATAAAACAAGGAACAGAAATAATCTCAAAGCAGAATTAATAAATAGAAACCAATATCCACTGATTTCATGCTCTGTGTTTTAAAACTGTTGCAAAAAGTATCAGCTATTTGAATGATAAAAAGGAAAAAAAAAGTTAAATAATTTGTTTTTGTGTCTTTGTTGAAAGTGGTGCTTTGACAATATTTTTGATACCTTCTAGTTTGTCTATTCAGGATTTCTATTTTTTTCTTGGGTTAAAACTGATGATCAGAAAACAGTTATTTCTTCAAGATTTTCAAATTTATTTGTTCAGAGGTTTACATAATATTTTCTTAGGCTAATTTTTCTTTACTTCTGTAATGATATTACCTTTTTTGTTTGTAATGTTTATTATTTGTATTTCTCTGCTTTGTCTCCTCCCATTTTCTTACCTTAATCTCTCCTTTTCCTTTCATGTTATCATCAGTTCCACTCTTCTCATTTGAAATGTCTATTATTCATTATTTTATTCGATACTCATGACAGGCCTACATGGTATGCAGGATAATTTGCATTTTACAGATGAGAAAACTGAGGTCAACTTTCCATCCTCCCGGCAGTGGCGAGCTGCGGGGCCAGGACGGAACCGGCCAAGGTGACACCTGGATCTATGCTGCTTGCGGTTGCGCCATGTTGCACGATTATGTCCATTCTGCTCCTTGTATATTTACATTTCTTTTGATCTCCACTTTCTTTGTGGAATCTTGACCGAGTCATGTTAAAATTTCATACAACATTTGTATTTCTGCCATTTGAAAATATTTTCCTAAGACCATACATTTAGTGATTTAACAGCAACGATGTCTTCTTCTCACTGTTGTGTGGATTCCCTGGGCTCTTCAGAAATAGCTGGGAAAGACCTAAGTAGGAAGGTAGGGCAGAGGCTTCGTGGGCTCCAACGGGACACCCCCATGCTCCCAGCAGAGTTTCTCATAACGCAGGGGCCAACATGAATATTTTATGTTTTATGGTGGCTGGCTTCTAAGAGCCTGAGAGTGAAATGGAAGCTTCCAGCCCCTAGGGATCTAAAATCAGCACATCCCTGCTGCCTTTTTTGGTCAAAGCAACTCACAAGGTTGCCTAGATTGAAGAGGAGGGAAGATAGACACTACCTCTTGGTAAGAGCAACAGCAAGCACACATGGGGTCTTTTCAATAGCTTGGCCTAAAGGAGCATGCTGCTCTCCAGGGGGCGCTGCTGAGTCAACTGCCCTCTTACCTTGGTTTAGGTCATCTCTGTTTCATGAAGCAAAGCCTAGGTTGATTTAAAAAAATAATAATTCTTGATACAATACAGCCTGAAATCTGTATGGATATTCTCTGGAATTCACAACGAGGCTATAGAAAGGGGAGAGGAGCCGGCTGGGGACACAGTTGAAACGATATTGGCAATGATTGGATAATTGTTAAAACTGGGAGAGGCATCCATGGGGCTTATGATGCTATTTTTTTTTTTCACTTTTATGTTTGACAAATTTCCATAATAAAAAAATTATTTTAATTCTAAGTGATTTGTTGAAAGTGGAGATTACGCCTAACCTCATCAAACTGAGTTTCTTGGTTTCTGTTTTTGTAAGGATGGTCCTTGCAGTGTGGGTGTGGGAGGAGCACGTTTCCATTGGAAGGTAGTAAAGCCCTTAGCAAAGCTTGCTGTAACCCAGACTTCATTCGTTTTGATTTGATTTTCGATTTGGTTAGTTTTTGATTGTTTACTGCTTCTTAATAAAGCCTATGTTATTATCACACAAATAGTACATTTCCATAGGAAAAAGAAGAGGAGAAGGAGGAAAAAGAAGAAGATCCAGGTGTGCTAAAAGAAAAAAAAACAAACATGGAAACCAACAAGGCTGTTTTACTCTGTTTTAAATATTTAGCACCTCCATGCTCAGCCTCTACACCACACTTGTTAAGAATGCACTTTTGAAACTAATGAAATGGCTTTGCTCTCTGTGCAAGATATTTGGAGGATATGTCTCAGCAAAAGACAGATAACAGAGCTCTGTGGGGCATTGTTCTGCTGGGCCTCTTGTGTTGTTCAAATGACACTTTAATCTTTTTTTTTTTTTTATTTTAAAAATATTGATTTATCTATTTTTACAATGACAAAAATTATATACATTATTGTGTACAACATGTTACTTTGAAATATGTATACATTGTGAAAAGGCTAAATCTAGCCAATTAATATATGCATTACTCACATATTTATGATTTTGTGGTGAGAACACTTAGAAATTTTTCTTAGTAATTAAAAAAAAACATTGTTATTCCCCATAGTCACAATGTTTTGCAATAGACCTCTTGAACTTATTCCTCCTATCTAATTGAAATTTTGTATCCACTGAAAATTTTGTATTTTTGTATTCACTGAAATTTTGTATCCACATCACCCCAATACACCTCCTCTCCTCCAGTCCCTGGTAACCACCATTGTATTCTCTACTTGTGTGAGTTCAATTATTTCAGATTCCGTATGTAAGTGATAATTGTCTTCTGTGCTTGGCTTACTTCAGTGACAATGTTCTCCAGGTTCCTCCATGTTGTCACAAATGTCAGAATTTTCTTCTTTTTAAATGCTGAATAGTGTTTTATTTTGTGTATTTGCCACATTTTCTTTATTCATGCATCTATTGATGGGACATTTAGGTTGATTCCAAGTTTTTCCTTTTTCTTTTTTTTTTTTTTTTTAATTATACTCTAAGTTTTAGGGTACATGTGCACATTGTGCAGGTTAGTTACATATGTATACATGTGCCATGCTGGTGCACTGCACCCACTAATGTATCATCTAGCATTAGGTATATCTCCCAATGCTATCCCTCCCCCCTCCCCCGACCCCACCACAGTCCCCAGAGTGTGATATTCCCCTTCCTGTGTCCATGTGATCTCATTGTTCAATTCCCACCTATGAGTGAGAATATGCGGTGTTTGGTTTTTTGTTCTTGCGATAGTTTACTGAGAATGATGGTTTCCAATTTCATCCATGTCCCTACAAAGGATATGAACTCATCATTTTTTATGGCTGCATAGTATTCCATGGTGTATATGTGCCACATTTTCTTAATCCAGTCTATCATTGTTGGACATTTGGGTTGGTTCCAAGTCTTTGCTATTGTGAATAGTGCCGCAATAAACATACGTGTGCATGTGTCTTTATAGCAGCATGATTTATAGTCCTTTGGGTATATACCCAGTAATGGGATGGCTGGGTCAAATGGTATTTCTAGTTCTAGATCCCTGAGGAATCGCCACACTGACTTCCACAATGGTTGAACTAGTTTACAGTCCCACCAACAGTGTAAAAGTGTTCCTATTTCTCCGCATCCTCTCCAGCACCTGTTGTTTCCTGACTTTTTAATGATTGCCATTCTAACTGGTGTGAGATGATATCTCATAGTGGTTTTGATTTGCATTTCTCTGATGGCCAGTGATGATGAGCATTTCTTCATGTGTTTTTTGGCTGCATAAATGTCTTCTTTTGAGAAGTGTCTGTTCATGTCCTTCACCCACTTTTTGATGGGGTTGTTTGTTTTTTTCTTGTAAATTTGTTTGAGTTCATTGTAGATTCTGGATATTAGCCCTTTGTCAGACGAGTAGGTTGCGAAAATTTTCTCCCATGTTGTAGGTTGCCTGTTCACTCTGATGGTAGTTTCTTTTGCTGTGCAGAAGCTCTTTAGTTTAATTAGATCCCATTTGTCAATTTTGTCTTTTGTTGCCATTGCTTTTGGTGTTTTGGACATGAAGTCCTTGCCCACGCCTATGTCCTGAATGGTAATGCCTAGGTTTTCTTCTAGGGTTTTTATGGTTTTAGGTTTAACGTTTAAATCTTTAATCCATCTTGAATTGATTTTTGTATAAGGTGTAAGGAAGGGATCCAGTTTCAGCTTTCTACATATGGCTAGCCAGTTTTCCCAGCACCATTTATTAAATAGGGAATCCTTTCCCCATTGCTTGTTTTTCTCAGGTTTGTCAAAGATCAGATAGTTGTAGATATGCGGCATTATTTCTGAGGGCTCTGTTCTGTGCCATTGATCTATATCTCTGTTTTGGTACCAGTACCATGCTGTTTTGGTTACTGTAGCCTTGTAGTATAGTTTGAAGTCAGGTAGTGTGATGCCTCCAGCTTTGTTCTTTTGGCTTAGGATTGACTTGGCGATGCGGGCTCTTTTTTGGTTCCATATGAACTTTAAAGTAGTTTTTTCCAATTCTGTGAAGAAAGTCATTGGTAGCTTGATGGGGATGGCATTGAATCTGTAAATTACCTTGGGCAGTATGGCCATTTTCACGATATTGATTCTTCCTACCCATGGGCATGGAATGTTCTTCCATTTGTTTGTGTCCTCTTTTATTTCCTTGAGCAGTGGTTTGTAGTTCTCCTTGAAGAGGTCCTTCACATCCCTTGTAAGTTGGATTCCTAGGTATTTTATTCTCTTTGAAGCAATTGTGAATGGGAGTTCACCCATGATTTGGCTCTCTGTTTGTCTGTTGTTGGTGTATAAGAATGCTTGTGATTTTTGTACATTGATTTTGTATCCTGAGACTTTGCTGAAGTTGCTTATCAGCTTAAGGAGATTTTGGGCTGAGACGATGGGGTTTTCTAGATAAACAATCATGTCGTCTGCAAACAGGGACAATTTGACTTCCTCTTTTCCTAATTGAATACCCTTTATTTCCTTCTCCTGCCTGATTGCCCTGGCCAGAACTTCCAACACTATGTTGAATAGGAGCGGTGAGAGAGGGCATCCCTGTCTTGTGCCAGTTTTCAAAGGGAATGCTTCCAGTTTTTGCCCATTCAGTATGATATTGGCTGTGGGTTTGTCATAGATAGCTCTTATTATTTTGAAATACATCCCATCAATACCTAATTTATTGAGAGTTTTTAGCATGAAGGGTTGTTGAATTTTGTCAAAGGCTTTTTCTGCATCTATTGAGATAATCATGTGGTTTTTGTCTTTGGCTCTGTTTATATGCTGGATTACATTTATTGATTTGCGTATATTGAACCAGCCTTGCATCCCAGGGATGAAGCCCACTTGATCATGGTGGATAAGCTTTTTGATGTGCTGCTGGATTCGGTTTGCCAGTATTTTATTGAGGATTTTTGCATCAATGTTCATCAAGGATATTGGTCTAAAATTCTCTTTTTTGGTTGTGTCTCTGCCCGGCTTTGGTATCAGAATGATGCTGGCCTCATAAAATGAGTTAGGGAGGATTCCCTCTTTTTCTATTGATTGGAATAGTTTCAGAAGGAATGGTACCAGTTCCTCCTTGTACCTCTGGTAGAATTCGGCTGTGAATCCATCTGGTCCTGGACTCTTTTTGGTTGGTAAACTATTGATTATTGCCACAATTTCAGAGCCTGTTATTGGTCTATTCAGAGATTCAACTTCTTCCTGGTTTAGTCTTGGGAGAGTGTATGTGTCGAGGAATGTATCCATTTCTTCTAGATTTTCTAGTTTATTTGCGTAGAGGTGTTTGTAGTATTCTCTGATGGTAGTTTGTATTCCTGTGGGATCGGTGGTGATATCCCCTTTATCATTTTTTATTGTGTCTATTTGATTCTTCTCTCTTTTTTTCTTTATTAGTCTTGCTAGCGGTCTATCAATTTTGTTGATCCTTTCAAAAAACCAGCTCCTGGATTCATTGATTTTTTGAAGGGTTTTTTGTGTCTCTATTTCCTTCAGTTCTGCTCTGATTTTAGTTATTTCTTGCCTTCTGCTAGCTTTTGAATGTGTTTGCTCTTGCTTTTCTAGTTCTTTTAATTGTGATGTTACGGTGTCAATTTTGGATCTTTCCTGCTTTCTCTTGTAGGCATTTAGTGCTATAAATTTCCCTCTACACACTGCTTTGAATGCGTCCCAGAGATTCTGGTATGTGGTGTCTTTGTTCTCGTTGGTTTCAAAGAACATCTTTATTTCTGCCTTCATTTCGTTATGTACCCAGTAGTCATTCAGGAGCAGGTTGTTCAGTTTCCATGTAGTTGAGCGGCTTTGAGTGAGATTCTTAATCCTGAGTTCTAGTTTGATTGCACTGTGGTCTGAGAGATAGTTTGTTATAATTTCTGTTCTTTTACATTTGCTGAGGAGAGCTTTACTTCCAACTATGTGGTCAATTTTGGAATAGGTGTGGTGTGGTGCTGAAAAAAATGTATATTCTGTTGATTTGGGGTGGAGAGTTCTGTAGATGCCTATTAGGTCCGCTTGGTGCAGAGCTGAGTTCAATTCCTGGGTATCCTTGTTGACTTTCTGTCTCGTTGATCTGTCTAATGTTGACAGTGGGGTGTTAAAGTCTCCCATTATTAATGTGTGGGAGTCTAAGTCTCTTTGTAGGTCACTCAGGACTTGCTTTATGAATCTGGGTGCTCCTGTATTGGGTGCATAAGTATTTAGGATAGTTAGCTCCTCTTGTTGAATTGATCCCTTTACCATTATGTAATGGCCTTCTTTGTCTCTTTTGATCTTTGTTGGTTTAAAGTCTGTTTTATCAGAGACTAGGATTGCAACCCCTGCCTTTTTTTGTTTTCCATTTGCTTGGTAGATCTTCCTCCATCCTTTTATTTTGAGCCTATGTGTGTCTCTGCACGTGAGATGGGTTTCCTGAATACAGCACACTGATGGGTCTTGACTCTTTATCCAACTTGCCAGTCTGTGTCTTTTAATTGCAGAATTTAGTCCATTTATATTTAAAGTTAATATTGTTATGTGTGAATTTGATCCTGTCATTATGATGTTAGCTGGTGATTTTGCTCATTAGTTGATGCAGTTTCTTCCTAGTCTCGATGGTCTTTACATTTTGGCATGATTTTGCAGCGGCTGGTACTGGTTGTTCCTTTCCATGTTTAGCACTTCCTTCAGGAGCTCTTTTAGGGCAGGCCTGGTGGTGACAAAATCTCTCAGCATTTGCTTGTCTATAAAGTATTTTATTTCTCCTTCACTTATGAAGCTTAGTTTGGCTGGATATGAAATTCTGGGTTGAAAATTCTTTTCTTTAAGAATGTTGAATATTGGCCCCCACTCTCTTCTGGCTTGTAGGGTTTCTGCCGAGAGATCCGCTGTTAGTCTGATGGGCTTTCCTTTGAGGGTAACCCGACCTTTCTCTCTGGCTGCCCTTAACATTTTTTCCTTCATTTCAACTTTGGTGAATCTGACAATTATGTGTCTTGGAGTTGCTCTTCTCGAGGAGTATCTTTGTGGCGTTCTCTGTATTTCCTGAATCTGAACATTGGCCTGCCTTGCTAGATTGGGGAAGTTCTCCTGGATAATATCCTGCAGAGTGTTTTCCAACTTGGTTCCATTCTCCGCATCACTTTCAGGTACACCAATCAGACGTAGATTTGGTCTTTTCACATAGTCCCATATTTCTTGGAGGCTTTGCTCATTTCTTTTTATTCTTTTTTCTCTAAACTTCCCTTCTCACTTCATTTCATTCATTTCATCTTCCATTGCTGATACCCTTTCTTCCAGTTGATCGCATCGGCTCCTGAGGCTTCTGCATTCTTCACGTAGTTCTCGAGCCTTGGTTTTCAGCTCCATCAGCTCCTTTAAGCACTTCTCTGTATTGGTTATTCTAGTTATACATTCTTCTAAATTTTTTTCAAAGTTTTCAACTTCTTTGCCTTTGGTTTGAATGTCCTCCCATAGCTCAGAGTAATTTGATCGTCTGAAGCCTTCTTCTCTCAGCTCGTCAAAATCATTCTCCATCCAGCTTTGTTCTGTTGCTGGTGAGGAACTGCGTTCCTTTGGAGGAGGAGAGGCGCTCTGCGTTTTAGAGTTTCCAGTTTTTCTGTTCTGTTTTTTCCCCATCTTTGTGGTTTTATCTACTTTTGGTCTTTGATGATGGTGATGTACAGATGGGTTTTCGGTGTAGATGTCCTTTCTGGTTGTTAGTTTTCCTTCTAACAGACAGGACCCTCAGCTGCAGGTCTGTTGGAATACCCTGCCGTGTGAGGTGTCAGTGTGCCCCTGCTGGGGGGTGCCTCCCAGTTAGGCTGCTCGGGGGTCAGGGGTCAGGGACCCACTTGAGGAGGCAGTCTGCCCGTTCTCAGATCTCCAGCTGCGTGCTGGGAGAACCACTGCTCTCTTCAAAGCTGTCAGACAGGGACACTTAAGTCTGCAGAGGTTACTGCTGTCTTTTTGTTTGTCTGTGCCCTGCCCCCAGAGGTGGAGCCTACAGAGGCAGGCAGGCCTCCTTGAGCTGTGGTGGGCTCCACCCAGTTCGAGCTTCCTGGCTGCTTTGTTTACCTAAGCAAGCCTGGGCAATGGTGGGCGCCCCTCCCCCAGCCTCGCTGCCGCCTTGCAGTTTGATCTCAGACTGCTGTGCTAGCAATCAGCGAGATTCCGTGGGCGTAGGACCCTCTGAGCCAGGTGTGGGATATAGTCTCGTGGTGCGCCGTTTCTTAAGCCGGTCTGAAAAGCGCAATATTCGCGTGGGAGTGACCCGATTTTCCAGGTGCGTCCGTCACCCCTTTCTTTGACTCGGAAAGGGAACTCCCTGACCCCTTGCGCTTCCCAGGTGAGGCAATGCCTCGCCCTGCTTCGGCTCGCGCACGGTGCGCACACACACTGGCCTGCGCCCACTGTCTGGCACTCCCTAGTGAGATGAACCCGGTACCTCAGATGGAAATGCAGAAATCACCCGTCTTCTGCGTCGCTCACGCTGGGAGCTGTAGACCGGAGCTGTTCCTATTCGGACATCTTGGCTCCTCCTCCTCGACATTTTAATCTTAACTGGCACCTGCCCCTGCTCATTCTTGATGGCAGTCAATCAATGTGTTGACAGCAGCCAATGTAGTCCTCCCTTGTACAGCAGCAGCCACCACCACCACCTCCTTTTTGGTCGCCACTGAAGTAGCAAGTGTGTAGAATGCTTGGTTTGCCCAGTGAGTATGTGGCCAGGATCTGTTTTATCAGGCATCTTGTTATTTAAAAACTGCAGAATACTCAGACCAGCTGATGCAAGCTGTGGACATTGTTGAGGTGGGGCAGACTTTCTTCCAGATGCCCTCATTCTCAAGTTCCCCTGCAGCTATAGGTGTCTGCTGGGGCAGCCAGTGGGGATGGATGGACGAAGCCCAGGGCGGGGCTGTCTGGAGGTCTGGGCTATGGAGGTGGAGGCAGAGAGAATCTGGGCTCCTGCCCTCCTGGCAGGCAGGGAGCACGTGGCTCATGGGTCAGAGTGCATCACATTGAGTCCCTTGGAGATTTTCCATGAGGAAGCTCCTGAGGACAGACTTGACTTCCTGCTCACCTAGATGGAACATATTTTATTTTAGAAATTAAATAAAATTTGAACCTTATGGGAACACTGTCAGGTTACCCTGGCCACTTAGAAAATGACAGTCTAAACTAAGTACGGTACCCCAGTGAGTGGAGTTTCTCCAGCAGCAAAGTTGGGCAACTTAAAGAGAGAAGGACCAGATTCACCTTTTTTTCTTCACCTGTGGATGGGCTGGGATGTGGTGTCAGGCAGAGGTGAGGATATCAGACATGCTGGCTTCTTTTGTTGCACCTGCCCTACCCAGTGGAGCAAGCCTTCTGCTCTGTGGAGGAGCTGCTTTCTGAGTAGTGAGTAATGTCTTCCCAAATCATTTTTGTCAATGCATGTATACCATTCTTATGCCATTCTTGGTGTCAAAATGTTCTTAACAATCCCTATGTTCTTAGGATTTGTTTCACGTGACAGAAACCCAATATATTAGTCACAGAACTACTTACTGCTATTAAAAAATGGCCAAACTTTGAGATAGCTGAGACAGTGTCAGCTGAACAGTCAGTGGGGCCTTCCTCTTGGCTGTAGTCATTCAGAGAACTTGCTGTCTCTTGCACACTTGGCTTCCAAGGCCTTCCTCAAGGTGTTTCATTCCAGCTGCTCAGAAAGAGAAAAGGGCCAGGGGGATACCATAGGGGAGATGGGACCATGGGGGAGATGGGAGAGGACAAAGCCAGGCCCGACTTGTGTCAACATCGTAATCACCAGATCCAGTCACAGGCTACCCTGAACTGCAAAGAGACTGGTGAATGAATCTAGTTAGGTGCCCCTGGACATGGAGAAGACACAGAGTACAAAAGGCAGCTTAAGCTAAAGGGGACATCTATTGACCTGGATCCTTCAAAGTTAGCAGTGGAAGTGGCCTCAGGAGCTCCGAGGATTGGACCAATGTTAGTTTCCTCCAGTTATCCACTTTCCTTCCCTTTGTTTCTACTTTCTTCCCCCTCTCACTCCCTCTCCCGCCCTGTCTTTTCTGTCTCCCTCCTTCCTCTTTCCATCTATCATCCTCTTCTTTCTTCCACTGGAGCAGTCAGTATTTCCTCCAATAGTCAATGGCTTGCTCGATGGAGAGGAAGAAAGTGAGGGGGGTTTATACCACTCTGGACTTGTGTCATCCCAGAGTAAACGCAGCGCTTCTGTCTCCTGTTTTCCCAGATGAGGACTCTGATAGACCTAACAGATGCTGTGTCCATCCTGAGATAATGATGATGTTCTTGGGGATGGACCCCACATCACCCCACATGACAGACTCATGTAACAGACTCACTCTCCCACCTGTGGCCAGGGCATCTAGGTACTTGGATTGGCAGCCTCATCAGGACCTCATGAAGAGAAGGGAATTATCCCCCTAAAAAGGGGTTCTCTTATGAGAAGATGGGAGGAAGGTACCTGGGCACTCAGAAACAACAGATGGCTACAAAAACAACCAAAGAATGATTTTCAACTGAATTCTATAGGCAGTGGAAAAACTGTGAATGGACAAGATGCAGTTGGCTAAACCATTGACCTAAGCATAAAGTCACAAAAAAACACCTTAAAGTAACATGCAGACCTGGTTGTAATGCGGCTGGTGAAGCCTCTTCTCACCCCATAACTAGAGGGAATGAAGGTGTCTTCACCGGTCTTATTGGGAGGTAGCACCTGTTTCTGCACATTTCGTTGATCCTCATATCTGCCACTTTCTGCTCCTAGTGACCTGCTAGTCACAGAGAATTATCCATTTCTGTCCAAAATTTCTCTTTTATAATTGTCAATTGTAACATCTTCAACAGTTTAAATGGTAATCATGCCTGTTTCTCTTTGCTTCTGTACAGCTCTCCAGGTCTGAATAAAATCTGGGAAGGAACCTTCTCCTAACCCTGACAATTCGACAGTTAGGACCCAGTGGACACCTCGCGATGTCTCCCTCCTGCCTGACTTTGAAGGGAGGTCACTCAGCTGCTCTGGAGTCTGAGCTAGAATACATTTCTCATGAGGCAGAAATTTTTTATTACTTCCTGGTTGTTTCATAATTATCCACAGGGGTAAAAACTCACTGGGGCCACTTGACTATGTGTTGCTCATGCTTAAACAACCTAGGTATTTTACATTTTGAATGGACAGGAAAATGTGCTCACCTTCTTGGGGATATTCATTTAACTGCAATTCTTTGGGGAAGGCTCAGTTCCCATGAATCAGATCCTAATGTGGAAATCAGAAAGCAGGAAATCTCATCCTAGGTTTTATCATTGGATCAGCACCATAAAAGCATTAATTTCCAGAGAATGGGAATTCTAAGGAAGCATTCCTTGTACACATTCTTTGACTTGAATGGACAGGTTTCACCTAAGACTTTGCAAAATAGTTTCATCCGCCCCCTTAATAATAAGGCACAAAACTATAATTAAATGTGTCTTACCCCCTCTACATATTATGTGTTTTTTTTATATGGAACACTCTTCAGATGAAAATAAAATTCATAATTTCATAGAAAATATTCTCAGAAATTACCTATTCTTGTGATTTAGGAGAATTCAAAATTTCTCATGTTTTAAATCCTGTATTTCTAAATTACTTTTTCATTTTTATGATTTTTCAAAAATTTCAGTATGTTTTATTCATAATGTTTACGTGGCATTGTAACATTTAAAGTGATATCTAGATGCCCAAAGTCCCCTAGAGCAGCAAGATTTCCTCATCTGGGGTCATGGATCTATCTGGGGTCCCCTTGGAGAAGTTTGTTCCATGGAATGAATTCAGAGGAGAGCATGGTTGGCTGTGGAAAAAATTGCATCTTAATTCTGCACGAACCTCCAACTAAAAAAAGAATCTTTTTTTCAATGACGAATACAGGCTGCAAACCATAGAAGCATAGCAATACAGCGATTTTGTCAGTGATAGAAATCACAGATATTTTCATACCATTTCACAGGTGTAGCAGATAACCTGAAATACAATTTAAGCTCATCACTACTTTGATATTTTGGTTATGAGTATTTGATCTGCAACTCGTTATATTTATTTAAAATGCTAATAAAGAAAAACATTATGATGCCACACATCCTTTTAACATTGTGAAAATTTAATTTCAACATAACTGGTTTCCTTGATAACTCTATGCAACCCCTTGTGTTCACTGACAAACACCATTCGGAGAAGGGTCGCAGGTATCCAAATGCACTGGGGTCTTTGGCCCTAACCCAGAGGAAGGGTCACCCTAAGTAAGATTTTACGAAGAGTGCATGCTGGCTTTTGTCTTTTTTCAGTACCTTTCTTTTGTCTCTCCTGTTTTTTCCTACTCAGAGATCCACTGGCTTCAGGTTGATTTGGAGTTCCCTGAGGGTCTGTATTACCTCCACGAGCCTTTGTTTTTCCCAAAGCACCTCATGTTTTCATTTAACTTTCTTCTAAGTCTTTGTATTAGTCAGGGTTCTTTAGAAGGACAGAACTAATAGGATAGATGCAGTTTATTAGGAGAATTGACTCACATGATCACAAGGTGAAGTTCCAGAATAGGCAAGCTGAGGAGCAAGGAACACAAAACCTCAAAAGTAGGGAAGCTGACAGTGCAGCCTTCAATCTGTGGTTGAAGGCCCGAGAGTCCCTGGCAAATCACTGGTATAAGTCTAAGAGTCCAAAAGCTGAAGAACTTGGCGTCTGATGTGCAAGGGCAGGAAGCATGCAGCACGGGAGAAAGAAGAAGGCCGGAGGACTCAGCAGGTCTGCCTATTCCGCCTTCTTCCGCCTGCTTTTTTCTATCCGTGCTGGCAGCTGATTAGATGGGGCCCACCCAGATTGAGGGTGAGTCTGTCTCTCCCAGGCTACCAACTCAAATGTTAATCTCCTTTGGCAATACCCTCACAGACACAACCAGGAACAAAACTTTGCATCCTTCAATCCAATCAAGTTGACACTTAATATTAACCACCACAAGTCCACCCCTTTTCAAATTTGAGCTCATATACATCTCCCAAAATCATACATAATCTTCAAGTAAAGACAGTAATAAGGTCATAATTACACCTAACATGATACAGCTATCCTTCCCACAACCAGAAGTGCACTAATCCTTAACCTAAATGCTATTACATAAAGTTAACAACACTGAAATGCTGATATGAAGGCAATAAATCTTATGTCACATGATAAAGGAAAAAGAGGGGACGTAAAATGAAGATATCTTCTTAGTGCAAGTGTATACATGCAAAAACATATTTTTAAGAAAGTGAGGAGGAAATACTCATGAAAATTACAGTCCTCATTTCTGGAACTGATCACATGGTTGTAGCTGGTATTGATGACAAGCTTCTTCTATTACCCATTCTGTATTCCCTTTGCCCTCAGCAAGCACCTCAGCAGGTCATGGTTTTTTTCCTGGTGGAGTGACCCAAACCTTCATTCCTGAAGGGTCTGGGCCATTTGTAGTCCTGCCTGGATTGGGTTGTTGTAGTTTCTCATTGACCCTAATCACAGGGCATGGTGATACTAAGAGATGCCCTAAAGGATCTCCTGTATTCCACACATTCTCTTTCTTATCTCCATTATGGAGTAGTAGACTGATTTCATCTTGAGAGTCCAGGTCAACCACCCTGGCCAACACTGTAACTCCCATCGTAGCCTTCTTAGCTAAGCTGTCCACTTAAAGGAAGGAGGAGCCCAAAGTGTCCAGGTGGCAATCTTAACTTCCAGTTTAATGGAATCATTGTTGTGTCTCCTGGTGGCAGCATTCCTCCCTCTGAAACTAAAACCTCTAGGCCTGTCGAACATAATGTCACGGGAACAGGAAGCAAAAAAGTTTGCTAGTGGGTCACTAGGGGTGACGGTGAGTGGTGCCACTTCCACTTCCACCCCTTGATTCCTGGACCCATGAATCCTGGCAATGGGAAAACAGTACGATATATTGGGTGCTGATTCAGAGCATACACAGTCTTCTGGAGAACTTTGCCCCAGACCTGCAAAGTATTGTCACCTAGCTGGCATTGTAAATGTGATTTCAAAAGGCCATTCCACTATTCTATCAATCCAGCTGCTTCAGAATGATGGGAAACATGGTAAGATCAGTAAATTTCCTAAGCATGAGCGCACTGCCACACTTTTTCAGCCACGACGTGTCTTGGTCAGAGGCAATGCTGTGTGGACGGTGGATAAGGCATTTCATGAGTTCATCTATGGTAGTCTCAGCAGAAGCATTGCGTGCAGGTTAGGCAAACCCATATCCAGAGTAAGTATTTATTCAGATGAGGACAAACCACTGCCCTTTCTGTGATGGAAGAGGTCCAGTATAATCAACCTGCCACCAAGTAGCTGGCCAATCACCCAGAGGAATGGTGCCATATGAAGGGCTTAGTGTTGGTCTCTGCTGCTGGCAAATTGGGCACTCAGCAGTGGCACAGCCAGGTCAGCCTTGGTGAGTGGAAGTCCATGTTGCTGAGCCCATGCGTAACCTCCATCCCTGCCACCATGGCCACTTTGTTCATGGGTCCATTGGGTGATGACGGGGTGACTGGAAAAAGATGCTGAGTGGCATTCACAGAATGAGTCATCCTATCCACTTGATTATTAAAATCCTCCTCTGCTGAGGTAACCCTTAGGTGAGCATTCACATGAGATACAAATATCTTCACAGTTTTTGACCACTCAGAGAGGTCTCTCCACATACCTCTTCCCCAAGTGTCTTTGTCATTAATTTTCCAATCATGTGTCTTTCAAGTCTCTGACCACGCAGCCAAACCATTGGCTATAGTGCATGCATGAATCAGTATATAATCGCACATCTGGCCACTTCTTCTTCTAAGCAAAGTGCACAACCAGGTGCAGTGCTTGAAGTTCTGCCTACAGGGAAGATTTCCCTTTGCCACTGTCCTTCAGGGATATCCTAGAAAGCGGCTGTAGTGCTGCAGTTGTCCATTTTTGGGTGGTGTCTGCATATCGTGCAGAACCATTTATGAACCAGGCCCTAGTCTTCTCTTTCTCTGTCAACTGATCATAAGGAACTCTCCATGAAACCACTGGTGCAGGCCAGAAGAGAGAAGGCAGGGTGGCAGGAGTGGGGACCATGGGCCTTTGAGCCACTTCCTCACGTAACTTACTTGTGCCTTCAGGACTTGCTTGAGCCCGATCACACATATATCACTTCCATTTGATGATGGAATGCTGCTGTGCATGACCCACTTTATGGCTAGATGGGTCAGAAAGCACTCAGTTCATGATAATTCAGGTCACATGGCGACTTGATGACCTATAGTCAGACATTCAGTTTCCACCAGAGCCCAGTAACAGGCCAAGAGCTGTCTCTCAAGAGGAGAGTAGTTATCTGCAGAATATGGCAGAGCCGTGCTCCAAAATCCTAGAGGCCTCCACTGTGATTCACCTGTGGGGGCCTGCCAAAGGCTACAAACAGCATCCCTATCTGCCACTGAAACCTCAAGCACCATTGGATCTGCTGGGCCCTTTGGCCCACGTGGCAGAGCAGCTTGCACAACATCCTGGACCTGTTGCAGAGCCTTTTCCTGTTCTGGACCCCACCCAAACTTGCAGCCTTTCAGGTCACTTGATAAATGGGCCAGAGTAACACACTCAAATGAGAAATGTGTTGCCTCCAAAATCCAAATAGGCCCTGTAAGCATTGTGCCTCTTTTTTGGTTGTAGGAGGGGCCGAATGCAAAAATGTATCCTTCACCTTAGAAGGAATATCTCGACAGGCTTCACACCACTGGACACCTAGAAATTTCACTGAGGTAGAGGTCTCTGAATTTTAATCGGATTTATTTCTTATCCCGTGGCATGCAAATATCTTACCAATCAGATCAGCGTGTTTGCTACATCTCATTCACTGGGTCCAATCAGCATAATGTCATCAGTGTAATTGACCAGTATGATATCTTGTGGAAGGGAAAAGTGATCAAGTTCTCTCCAAACAAGATTATGGCACAAAGCCGGAGGGTTGATACACCCCCGAGGTAGGACAGTAAAGGTATATTGCTGGCTTTTCCAGTTGAAGGCAAATTGCTCCCGGTGGGCCTTATGGCCAGGAATGGAGGAAAAGGCATTTGCCAAATCAATGGCTGCGTACCATACCAGGTACCAGGAGATATGTTAATTTGCTCAAGCAATGAAACCACATCTGGTAGAGCAGCTGCAATTGGAGTCACCACTTGGTTAAGCTTACGATAATCCACCGTCATTCTCCAAGACACATCTGTCTTCTGCATGGGCCAAACTGGAGAGTTGAATGGGGATGTGGTGGGAATCACCACTTCTGCCTCTTTCAAGTCCTTGATGGTGGAACTAATCTCTGCAACCCCTCCAGGGATGCGACATTGTTTTTGATTTATTATTTTTCTAGGTACAGGCAGTTGTAATGGCTCCTTTAATAGCCCTTACCCTACTGGTCAAAGAGCCACTGTAGGGATTCTGCCAGCTGCTAAGTGTATCTATGCCAGTCATGCATTCCGGCAGTGGGGAAATGTCCACAAGAGAGTCCAGGAACCCACTGGACCCACTGTAAGTCAAACCTGAGCTAAAACTCCATTAAGTACTTGACCTCCCTAAGCCCCTACTTTAACTGGAGGACCACAATGACGTTTTGGGTCCCCTGGAATCAATGTCAGCAAGGAGCCGTGTCCAGTAGTCCCTAAAAGGTCTGATCATCCTTCTTTCCCTATTGCACAGTTACCCTGGTAAAAGGATGGAGATCTCTTTAGGGAAGGGTGGTAGAAAGATTAACAGTATAAATTGTTGGTAGTGTAGGGAAGCCAACAGTGCAGCCTTCAGTCTGTGGCAGAAGGCCCGAGAGTCCCTAGCAAACCACTTGTGTAAGTTCAAGAGTCCAAAAGCTGAAGAACTTGGAGTCTGTTGTGCAAGGGCAGGAAGCATCCAGCACAGAAGAAAGACGAAGGTTGGAAGACTCAGCAAGTCTGCTCACTCCACCTTCTTCTGCCTGCTTTTTTTCTAGCAGACTGGCAGCTGATTAGATGATGCCTACCCAGATTGAGGGTGGGTCTGCCTCTCCCAATCCACTGACTCAGTTGTTAATCTCCTTTGGCAACACCCTTACAGACACATCCAAGAATAAAACTTTGCATCCTTCAATCCAATCAAGCTGACACTCAATATTAACCATCACAATCTTTTTCCAGGCTCAAAGAACCCCCTTACTTCCTTGAAGATAACTATCCTAGATATTTGGAGGAAAGAAGCTGATTAAATGTATGAAAATTTAACAGAAAATCCCTGCTTTCCTACAGAAAATTTGCATTAAGCAAGCAAAAAACTCTCTGATCAGTGGAACTATCCCATAAATACCCTAAAGGAATGGCAGAAAGAGTAATGGGGGATACTTTTGAGGGAGGGTGATAAGTCTTTCCAACATCCTTTAAATATTACCAATGAGGTGCCTCCTGTGTTGTGAATCTTCACTGTTGTCTTCCTCGTGAGTGTTGGGACACCCACAGGACATGATGCCTAGCTACAGCTGGCAGAAACACATTGCGCACCCAGGGAATGTTTCTGTCCCTAAAACCTGGGATCTGGATCATTTGCAGAATCAGATTCACTTGCCTTCCCTGATAGTGAGCTGAAATCCTAATGCACATAGGAAGAGTATATTTATAAGACAATGTCAAAATACGATCAAAACTACTTCTATTAGTTTTCAATTGCTGCCATAAAAATGTACTACAAATGTAACTGCTAAAAACAACACCTATGTATTGCCTCACTGTTCTGTAGCTCAGATGTCCAGGGGGCTTGACTGGTTTCTCTGCTTAGGGTCTTACTAGATATTGTCCAGCCTGGGCTCTTAGCTAGAGGCTTGGGGGAGCGCCCACTTCCAAGCTCATTCAGGTTGCTGACTGAACTTAGCTGCTTGGAGCTGCAGAGCAGAGATCCCACTTTTCTTGCTGGCTGGCCAGTAGGCAGCTATCTATCCCTAGGGGCCAGCCCCATGTATTACCTGGCCTCCCCTTCAAACTGGCAACAACATGGCAAGATCCCTCCTAACTTTCCAATCTGACTTTTCCTTCTGCCCTATCTCGTCTGTCTTCAGCCGGAGAAAGTTCTCTGCTTTTAAAAGTTCATGTGATTAGATTGAGTTACCTTGAAGAATCCAACATAATCTTCCTATATGAAAGTCCATAACCTGAATCACATTTGCTAAGTCGCTTTTGCTGTGTAATGTAACATATTCACAGGTGCAGATGAGGGTGTGGGCGACCTTGGGGAGTCATTCTGCCTACTCCAGAAACAATACTGTCTCCCAATTGACATCTTTGTTTCGTGTTTTAGGGATGAATTTTCATATTAATGAAAAGGTTTCATAAATGCCCGTTACCAAACTAGCTTATTCACAGAAATTTCTGAGAATAGATGAATAAATCACCCATGTTGGTAACAGAGATGAACAGATCTATTGGGGAGATTAGACAGACTTCTTTGAGTTCCCAAGAGCATGATTACACTTACAAACATTCTTAGCAGATTTGAATTGCTTCTTTCTGATTTTCTCCTGCTTCTAAATGCACATGACATGGAGAATCGTGGGGTTTGCTCCTGATTGTGGGGTTGCCATGCTCTGGGGTTTCCCTAGTAGTTTCAGTTCTGCTACAGCCTCTCCAATAGAGTTAAAAGAAACTCTGATTTCCCTAGCTACCATGTTCCTTTAATGATTGCCAGGCAGCTGGCATTGCTGTGGGCAGGCACGGCTGGACATGGATATTCTGGTGCCAGGAGTTAAGCTTTCTGCTGATGTTTCCAACTGTTTTTTGTGTCCTTTTGCTATTTAATGGGCATATTACCCAGGAAATTGATAACTGACCATTTCAGATGTGTTGCTGGGAACTAGAGTTTTTGATGATCGTACCAGTTGTTTATTTGTGCTAACACTATGCACAATAGGGTGTTTGCCTCAATCTTCCTTCTTGCTCAGAGTGATGAGTTTGGTTGCTCTTTAGTGGAGTTTAAGAAGGTTATCTCCAGAACCCAGTACTCCAAATGTATCACTATGTTCTTCTGAGATGTGTATTCCAAAGTTGCTAATTAGGGCTTCTTAGGCTATCATAAATAGCAGGTGTTGGTAACAAACCTGCAAAGAATATTTGATATGTTTGTAAATACACATATTTATCTGAGCACCAACTAAAAAAGAATGTGGAAAGCGTTAATCCTTTTAAATGCAAAATGTTAAACTGGATCTGCATACGAAAAAGTTTTTATTATAATACTGTACTAAAATTTATATACCTTTCCTGAAGAACATTTTTCGCCTGAAATTAAAACAAGGAGGACTTTTAGAAAACATTTAAACATCTGAGAATATGGCTAAAATTTAACCACGGAGTCTAATATGTCCATGATGACTTTTAATTATTTTGATAGAATTGGCGAGTCATGCCAACACCATTAAAAAAAGAAACATATGAAATCTTTTTAAGCTAATATGTTCTATCAATTAATTTAAAATAGTGGAATTAGCTATGCATATATGCCCAGACCTAGAAAGATACACATTCGCTTATGGAACATTGTGTTTGAGAGTTTGGAACATATCAATTTTATATTAATTGTGAATTACTCTTTGGACAGGCAACCCACCAACAAATATCCACCAGCCCCTCATTTTGAAAAGTTAGAAAAAAACAAGGAAACATTATCTAAAGGAAGAATTAGGTCAATCAAAGCCTTCACAGGAATTCATAACGGGATTAAGAATTAAGATTGGTTCTTCAAGCTTAGCTTTAGCCAAGGAAGGAGAAGAAAGAATTCAAAGAATTCTGTCCAGAGCATAAGAAGAGATTAGAAAATTAGAGACCTATGCTGATTGAGCTGAACTTTCCTAGTGGTCTTTGACATTGGCCTTCAGCCCACACTACTCTCAAAAGAATGATCCAGCAAATATGAAAATTACAGCCAAACATGAGGAAAACCTTCTGGACACACACAAAAATAACCATGTAAAAGAATACTGCAAAATTACGTGAAAATAAATGTAAGGTAAACTCCATACGGTTGAAAGAAAAATGTATTCTTATCTCAACCCTATTTGTCATATTAACACTTATAGCGTAGTTAGAGGTCTTGTGAATTTACATTGCAACTCTCTGTTTCTAGAGTTTATCACTCCACCATAAACTTGCTGAGCACTAAAATGTGGCAAATAGATTTCACAGCAGGAGTGAATGTGTGTGTGCAGAGATTTATGGGATTCAAAGAGGGGGCAATGTCCACAATTTGAATTGAGAAAGTCAAATAACAAAATAAAAAACTCCCCTTTCTGCCCACATCCAAGCCTCCATCCCACAAATAACTGTGCTTCCAGCAGTGGTACCTGTGCTACAGGTGAGTGGATCACGCTTACAGCCATGGAGAGCTTGGCTGGCCTTGTTTGCCAGCTGCTCCAGGAACCTTTCCTGCCCTCCTTTCCTTTCAGCTTTTTGGCACTACTTCCCATCACCTCCTTCTTCTGCCATGGCCTAATCAGATACCTTTCCAGGTGCAATCGATTGTTAAGAAGATCTGAGCCTCGTGGTAGGAGGAATGACCTCCCAAAGATGCCCGCACACTAACCCCAGGACCTGGGATATGATTCTTTCATGGCAAAGGGACTTTGAAGGTGTAATTGATATTTCATCAATATTATTAGAAACATTAATAGGTAGGCCAGGCACAGTGGCTCATGCTTATAATCCCAACATTTTAGGAGGCTGAGGTGGGAGCATCACTTGAGCCCAGGAGTTTAAGACCAGCCTAGGCAATATAGTGTGACATCCCATCTCTTCAAAAAAGTTAAAAACAAAACTACCTGGGCATGATGGCACATGCTTGTACTCCCAGCTACTTGGGATGCTGAGGTAGGAGGATCTCTTGAGCCACAGAGGCAGAGGCTGCAGTGATCCAAGATTGCGCCACTGCACTCCAGCCTGGGTGACAAAGTAACACTCCATCTCAAAAAAAAAAGAAAAATATATTAATAAGCAGACTATCCTGGATTACCCAATAATAATATATTGGGCCCAATATAATCACAGAAGCACTTAAAAGCAGAGAACATTCCCTGGCTAGAAGTAACACAGAAGCAGGACAGATTTGAAGCAGCAAAAAGATTCAATGCACTTTTGCTGGTTCTGAGTATTAGGGACATATGTATGATGGCCAGAGACAGGAACTCACTGAAAGGAGGAAAAGAAACAAGGATCGCCTCCGGGAGCAGAGACCAGGGACAGGAAGGAAGAGGGGACTTCAGCCCTACAATCATAAGGAGCTGAATTTGACCAAAACTCCTGAATGAAACGGAAGCAGAAGCTGCCCCAAGGTCCTCCAGTGAGGAACGCAGCCCTGCTGTTCTCTTGATTTTGAGCCTAGTCTCCTGTCCAAACTCGACTACAGAACTTGAGATAACAAATGGGTATTGTTTCAGCAGCTATATTTATGGTAATTTGTGGACAACTAAGACATTAACATTTGAAGAATGATAGAAAACTTTCCAACATTTCTGGGGTTGTCCACTTTGGGTGGTGCACCTGGTTTCAGGTTCTAATGTATGCTTAATAAATGATAACCAGCTTTATTGATCTTTTCTCTCTTCTTCTAGTTTGTCATACTTCTTTAATGTGGATGGTGGGATAGAGTCCCTTTTTAAAAATTTTCCACCCCCAACTCAGAAACAAATAAGGCATCTGTAGGAAACAGCTGTGGCTGAAGCATGGGGACATGAAAGGCTGATGTCATGTCCCAGACTAAGACAGTCTCCAGGGATTCCTGCCCTTGGGAATTCAAACTCTTATTTAGGCTCCTCCAATAATGAGTGAGTGTTAGGCTGTGTGACCAAGAGAATCCAGCTGAAGTAATGGCCTGGGACTCCCAAATCTAGGTCAAAGGCTGGGCCTTGCTCCATCTCTCAGGTTGCTTGCTCTGTGAGATGCCAGCCCTCATGTCTGGAGCATGCTCAAACTTTCTAGGGTGAGGTCCTCTGGAGGAAGTACCAAGGCCTCTCAACAACAGCTGTGTGTGCACTATCTTGGAAGCAGCCCCTCCAGCCCCAGTCACACTTTCAGATGAGTCTGCCCTCCCTGCAGATAGCTTGACTGCAATTTCAGGAGACAGCCCAAGCCAGAAGCACTCAGCCAAGCCACTCCTGGACTCCTAACCTGTGGATACTGCATGAGGTAATACATGTTTGTCGTTTTATGCTGCTGTATTTGGAACAATCTGTTACATAACAACAGATGAATAATGCAGCTTAGTATTTTGGAAATAATAACAACAAAATCTTAACATTTTATGATAGGCATTTCTGTTCTTCAAAGTGTCCCCACCATCCTGTTAACTGGGAATCCCACCTCATCCCATGTGGCTCCCTCCCTTGTGTCCTCTGGTTCCTCTTTGCTGCCAAAACAACTTACAGTTCTGCGCCACACAATCTTATGTCAGTTGTCACCTTCAAGCCACCTGAGGGTTACACGGGCTTATCCCAAACCCATCCAGGGCCTCAGGAGACAACTAGGTGTTTCCAAAGACAGAAACGACTTTCCTCACAGGACAGCAATTTTTTATGGCTGTCATTTCTGTTCATACATAATGCTGTTATTCTGTGCTCAATAAGTGAAAATGGAGAATTATAGCCAATCCCTTCCTACACCTCCCGCATCCCCACCGAGGTCTGCATACCATGGGTCACTAATGAACATTTGGAGCATATTCTCATTTAAACTAAGCCCATCTTCTTAACCTTTTCTCATGAGTCCTATTTTCAAAAACTTTGACAAGTTTGATTAGTTCCTCTCAAATGTCTCTCAAATTTTTCTATGGGAATCAAATAGGATAAAATGAAATTAGAAATTGTCCTTCTGAAAAAGGTATGCTAAAATGGACTATAGCAGGAAGCTACCTCCCCACCAAATAAAACTCGACGGTGTTATCAAACTTAGTCACCTATACTATTCATAAATATTGATTTAGAAAGACTCTTGGGTGTTTGTAGAACTGAATCAAACCTCTAAGGACAAGCATTTATTGCCACTAATCACCAAAAGAATATGGCAGAGGTTTGATCTAAAACAGAAGTATCAGAAGCACTTAAGCTATCACATATGACTTCCTGAGTGAATGTTCAAAGGGGCTGCTATTTATTTGGGCCACTATTTGCTTTGCAGGTGTTTGCTTTTGTTTCTCAAGCCTAGGCTTCAAAGTAACATCTGCCCTTGGCCAGGCGCGGTGGCTTACACCTATAATCCCAGCACTTTGGGAGGCCAAGGCAGGCGGATCACTTGAGGTGAGAAGTTTGAGACCCGCCTGGTCAACATGGTGAAACCCCAACTATACTAAAAAATACAAAAATTAGCCAGGTGTGGTGGTGCATGCCTGTAATCCTGACTATTTGGGAGGCTGAGGCAGGAGAGTCGATTGAACCCAGGAGGAGGAGGCTGCAGTGAGCCGAGATCGTGCCATTGCGTCAAGTCTGGGCAACAGGGTGAGACTCCATCTCAAAACAGCAACAACAACAACTAAAACAACAAAACAAACAAACAAAAAACACCTGCCCTGGAAACACTTTTTATCCAGGCCCATAATTTAAGTTTCTATTCTCTCACATTTTTACTTACTCCTGCTTGATTTTTAATCTATCACAAAAAGTATATTATTTCAGTTCCATGTGCTATTTCGAGAAAAAGGGAAGTAAAATTTCAATTCTCCTCTATTACTTGCCTTGTCGTATACAAATAAATGATAAACCCTTTAGATATTAGAATTTAAAAATGTTTTTCCATTGCCTGCAATGCCCCTGAAGGTTGAATTTCCTTTTTTGCCTATTTTTACAAACTTATGCTATTTTCCAGCCTGTTTTCTTAATGATCTGGTCTGATTTCCACTTCTTATGGCCTTCTAATTTGCATTTCAGATGTCTGGATGGTTCTTACCTAATTAAGAATCATCTAGTGGAACTCAGCAACTTCTACGATAAAAAGGTCCTGGGGTGCACTGGGGTCATCACCAGGAGCCTAGGAGATGCCAATTATTATATGAAAAGAAGCTTTATTAGGCCCTGAAAGTAGCATTTGAGGCATCATGAAAACATAAGCTCACGTACTTAACTAGGCTGTAAAGAGGAGAACACATGTTTTAGATCCTCCTTAGATGTTTCAGGCTCTTTGTCCACTGGTCTCTAACCAGGACTGGGGGCTCCTTCCTCCCTCAAACGGGAGGAAACTCTGGTAAGATGGGAGAACCACTTGTTGTCAGGGCCTCATAACAATCTGTGGCAGGTTCACATCGAGTTACTATGTCAGGAATAATGAGTCCCTTGGTGCCCAGGAACAAAGTGACAGTGGCTAATGAGGCAGAACAGTGTATGTGATGAAGCAATGACATTTTTTTTGAAGTCAGCAATCTGAGGTAGAGATCAATAAGTGTTTTCCAGGGTTAATTCACTGGTCACCATTACTGACATGCTATTAGAGAGAGATGAACTCAGGGGTTCAGGAGTGAAGCTTAATCCAGATAAGTGTTAAGGACATCAGATGTTTATTTCAATAATCCAAAACATCGCAGCCTTAGTCCTAACCCACCCTCTTTAGGGATCCCACACCCTTCAATCAATGTTGCCTGGCCTATGTCCGTCTGAATCCTCTCCTAGCCTGGATCCAAGATTCCATCCTCCTTGACTGTGTCTAAGAGGAAAGGCTTTCATCTACCTGCACTTGCATGGGTTTCAGGGTTGAGTGACTTCTATTTCCATTTCTTTGGGAAAATGGTGACTGGGCAACTCACTGCTGTCTGTAATGGATATTGTATTATAGTGTGGGTTGTATTGTGGATATATCAGATAAAGTTTAGAATTTCTGGGCTTCTGTCTTGCCTTTTTCACAGACTCAGGGTTTGCATCAAATTGAGTCTTTTCATCTCTCTGTGCCTTAGTTTATCTATCTGTCAAATAGGAATAACAGCAATCACCTCGTAGTCACTGTTGGAACTCATGCAATGATAATATTTATTGAGCCCTTATTACTCTCCAATCAATGAGAACATGTTTCCTGTGCACCATCAGTTATATCATGTGACAGTCCAGACAGGTAGGTACCGTTGTTACTATCACCCCCAGACAATGTGGGAATACAGTTAGAGTACTTTGGGTCTTCTGTTTTCCATGTAATTCCTTTGCAAGTCCTGTATTCTTGAAGTATTTTCTCCTATAATCTTTGAGTCTCTTTGTATCATATTGCAAAAAAAAATCTTTAAGTGCCTTGATTAACAAATGACTCTTAACCCCAATTATAGCATATGGATGACAAGGCAATGCTGCAAAAGAGTATGCAGCTTACAATTGTCTAAATTCAGGCCTAAAACTTGCCTCGTGACCCTGTAGCCTGCGAAATAGCAGGAACAGGGCCCAGTTACTTGTGTAAAAAGAAAAATGGGGCTACTGCATGACTTTAAGGATAAAGGAAACTATCTGAGCGTATAAGCAATTGCTGAACTGTTTGAGAGTGAGATATGTAGATAAAGATATTGAGAACTGAGGTAAACAACTGATCAATATCCTTGTTTTTTAGAAGAGTTATTTTATTAATTATACCTCATGAAAATTCAACAATGATCTGAACTTTAAGGCCAATGGTAAAAAAGAGGAAAGAAAACCTTAATCTAAATCAAGGTGAATAGGCAAAAATGTTTCCAATTCAAGAGGGTGCTGATAAGTTATCAATAAGGGGAATTTAAAGTGAGAAATGTCAACAGTCATAACACATTGTTCTAAAAGGTAAATTTAACCTAAAGAGTTTTTTTAAAGTGTTATTTTTTTCATTCAAATTTCTTGAGCTTAGAAAAATGGGGGAAGGAAGAGAGAGAGAATGCGTGTAAGAGGATTAAAAGGCAAGGTGTTTTAAGAATTAACCATGGATGTGCATAAGGTCATTTAAAAATGAAAAGGCTCAGTATTAGAAGTTTTGATTTCATGACTCTGGTTTTGCTCCAGCTCCTGAAAGAGGGCCCTATGCCAATTCTTCCCGGACTGATCACTCCATTGGTTCCAAGCTAGGATGTTTCTCATTTAGAAGCTCTTCCCCCGAAGCCAACAGTTCAATAGTTTTTATCCTGTTAGAACTGGTATTTATTAGAGAAAAGCAAAGTCCTCTAAGTTGGAATGGGAGACATTTGAGGGACGCATTTAAAGATGAAATAAGGACTAAAACCCAACCAGCAAGATGCAGAACCAGATATTCTTGACAGAAAAAGATAGATTGCACAAATAAATCTAGATTTCAAATAGCAATTACAAATCAGTGGTGCTGTTGATCCAGTGTATCAACCATAACTAAAAACTTCAGACATTCATTTTAGAGTTGTTAGAAAAATAACAAAATATATAAAAACAAATAGCAGTATTATTTTAAGAAACCAAGTAAAATTTGTTTTATCACTTAGTTTTCAGTAAAATGACGTGCTTGGAATATAAAAGCAACGACCAGGTTGTAGAAGTTGAAGGAATTATTGATTATAGTATTTCAATAGAAATGGAATCATGAGTCAAAAAGAGAATCAAATATATGCAGCTATTGGCTGCACTCCGGGTAGAGGGGAACATTACGATGATGATTTGGCCTTTCCCGGGCATAAAAGGGCAGGACAGGATAGACCATATGGTTTCCTCCTGACCTTTAATGTTTCTATGTAACTCTGTATTAACAAGGCAACAGCCAGTCTAAGGAGATAATGCCATCTGGTGCCACGGAGATATGAAGCAGGATAATCTATTAGATAGATAATAAAGGAAAGGCTGTTGGAATTACACCCAACTGCCTGGGAACTATAAAAAACCATGTGCAGGAACTGGGTTTGACACTGAACTAATTGAGACTGGGAAAAACACATCCATGCAAGTTGCTAAAACTCTGCTTCTGTTAAAGCAGAAAGATCAAAATTTTCTATTGGATCATTTTTATAACAGTGAAAAATAAAAATGTTATTTGCTTTCAGAAATGATAATCATTGTCTTATGGCTATACATGAAATATGTTAAGCAATCCAAATGTAATTAGAGAAGTGAGCTTAGCTTCCATGCCACTGTCCTGAGTTAACACAGAATATGCAAATCGCACTGAAAGGAATTCCAACAGGGTTTTTCCACTGAGGCTCAAACTTGAGATCATGACATAGAGAGCTTGAAAATTCTCAAGAAGCACTTTGGGGCAAGGGAAGAAGGCGGGTTTGCTAAGAGGGAGGCGTTGTTTTCCATCTGCAACAAGCTGTCATATTTTGAAGGTGTTCTATAAACAAGAGTGAAGTATTTGGGAAAACAGATTTACTGGAATATTCCCAAGGATTTGGGAGTTTATCTAAGCTAGTAAACAAACAAAAGGTCCCTGGTTCTGAGGCTGATAAAGAAGGCCAAGCACAGAACCTGGTATTTTCCCTCGCACCCTGGGCCTCCTGCCATTTGTGCCTGGGAACGAACTGGCTGGGCAGGTTTTCCAGATCCCTCTAAACATTCCTAAATGACTGCACTCCCCAAATTACAGTCCTCAGGGGTCTCGTTTCATTTTCTGAGAATTGGTAACAGGCCACCGTGGCTGATGAGATGAGCAGGGTATCCAAGCAACTATTGTGCAGTTGATGAATGAAGGGAGCACGACGCTGGATGCATTGGTGCTCCAGGTGACAGTCTTAAACCAGAGTTTAAGGTTCCCAGGTGCTCCAGTTGACTGTCTTAAACCAGAGCCTGGAGAAGTTTGCCTCAGAGCTGCCTAGATTCCATCTGAAAATCATCTCATCATCTCTAATTACCACCAGGTAATCGGAGGTTTATCTTAATCCTACGTGTTCAGCCGAGGGCCCTGAGATCTTGGCCGAGGGTCCCTGATTAAATGCCCCTATGACTAAGGCACAGAGCTTGTCTGCAAAATGGTAATAAATGTCATTCATTCTTTTAGTTAACAAATGTTTATTGGCATCTGCTATGTTCTAATCACTATTTTAAATGCTTAGTTTATACCAGTAAGATAAAAACAAAAAGCACGCATAGGTCTCTGCCTCCTAGAACTTACTTTCCAGCAATGAAAAACAGACAATGAAAAAAAACCTACATTAAATGAACATATTGTCTATGTTATGGGTTGGATTTTGTTCCCTAAAGAGAGAAATGTTGATGTGCTAACATATACATATAACATAGCTCCTTTTTTGAAATGGGGTCTTTGCAGAGGTAATCAAGTTAAAATGAAATCATTAGTGTGGATCCTCACGCAATATATTTGGTGTCCTTATAAAAAGGGACATTTGGACGCAGACACAGATGTGTATTGAGGGAGGACAACATGAAGACACAGGAAAAATGCCATGTGCAAGCCAAGGATTGCTGGGTGACCCCCAGGAGCTGAGGAAAGGGGCCCAGAACAGATTCTTCCTCGCAGCCTCAGAAGAAACCGGCTTTCATTTTAGACTTCGAGCCTCCAAATCTGTGAGACAAAAATTTCTGTTGTTGAAGCTGCTCAGTTTGTTGGCACTTTATCAGGCAGCCCTAGGAAACTAGCACCACATGGTGTCTGTTAAGGGTTGAATGGTGTCTTCCAAAATTCATAGGCTGAAGTCCTAATTCCCCAGGACCTCTGAATGCAACCTTATTTGGAAACAAGGTCATTGCAGATAGAATCACTTGAGTAAAGATGAAGTCCTATTGGAGTAGTATGGGCACGTGATCTAACATGACTAGTGTCCTTATAAAAGTGGGAAATTGAAACACAGACACACACAGCAGGAAAACGCCACGTGAAGATGAAGATGGAGGTCAGAGTGACGCATCTAAAAGCCAAGGAAGGCCCAAAATTTCCAGCAACGGCCAGAAGCTGGGACAGAGACCAGGAACAGCTTCTCCTCCATAGCCTTTGGAAGGAACCAGCCCTGGTGACACCTTGATCTCAGACTCCCAGCCTCCAAATCTATGAGACATGCATTTCCATCCTTTAAGCACCTCCAGTCTGTGGTGCTTTGTTACAACAGCCCTAGAGAACTAAGGCAGTATACTGGAAGGTGACAAATTGAAAAGAAAAGACACAGTTGAGGTGGTCAAGAGGAACTGCAGAGGCTAAAGGCAGTGGGGAGGACCTGGTGTGGGGTGGAACAGATCTTTGTGGACAGCCCTGAAAAGGGGGTGTTGAACAAAGACTTGGGGACATGCAGGAAACCAGGTAAGTGAATATTTGGGGGAAGGTTATTCCTGCAGAGGAAATGGCAAGTGTGAAGGCATGAGGCAGGAGCATGCCTGGTTTAATTGAGAAACAGCAGGGGGTCAATCCAAAGAAGAGGAGCAGGAGATGAGGTCAGGGAGGTAACAGTGGAACCAGGTCATACATGGGCTTCTACCTTGAGTGAACAGGCACCCATACGAGGTTTTGAGAAAAAAAATGAGGCAGTCTTGGTTATGTTTTAAAAGAACACTTGTATGCTGTGTTGAGAATAGGTTATAGGGGAGCAAAGAGAGAGATAGGAAAACCAGTTAGGAGGTTCCCGCAGTGGCCCATGTGCCAATGAAGATGGTTCAGACCAGAGAATGGTTCAGACCTGCCTCAGAGGAGGTAATGAGAGGAGAATTCTGGACAAATGGTGAATGTGTGGCCCAAAGTCTTTCCTGGAAGGTCAGATGCACCTAGGACAACAAGAAAAAGTCAAGGTGACTCCTGTGTGTCTGCCCTGGGCCACTGGGAAGATGGAGTTGCTGTCACCTGAGATAAGAACGACTGTGCAGTGGCAGGTTTTGTGGGGGCAGCTCAGGAATTCAGAGCTCGGCATATTGAATTGAGGTCTAGTCAACATCCGGCAGCTGCTGGCTAAGTAGTTGCGTATACAAGATTGGAGTCTGAGGGTGGGGGTCTGGGTTGGAGATATGAAATTGGGTCATCATCATATATCCTGTGTGTAAAGTCAGCATTCAGGATGGCATGGACGGAGAAGAGAAGTCTCTTCCATCATTTTTCAAGCACAAAGTCAAAGGGGGCCTACACTGTGGTGTGTCAAGGAAAGGGCATAGTTCCAATCCCTTGTTTTTGCACAGTGGTGCTTTCTACACCTGAACTGTGCTGGCCACGTCCAACAGCCCCTTTCTATTCACTGTATGGACTGCCAGCTCCTAGGGCCACCAGGCTCTTGGCTTCAGTCTTCGTTCTGGGGTGTTTGTCGTGACGGGAGCCATGTGAGCCTCCCTCGGTGGACAGAAGCAAGTCCAAATCCATCCTGGCAACACTAAGATTGTTTTCTAGACCAGATAGAATTGTGATGGGATTTCCAAGAACAAACTTACCTACCAGGTGATTCCTCCAATCTCCAGGGCCAGCCTCAGAAGGCAGAATGGCTGGGCAGTTCCAGTTGGATGCCCCCATCCCAGTCTCCACAAGCAAGGTGACTGCAGCATTCCCAGGCCAGCAAGGACGCTTGGCAGCCGGCACTTCTCCCCTTGAAGCAGAGGCCATGGGCTTGCTGTGCCTTCCTGGCCTCAGGGGCACTCAGGGGCAGCCTATTCAAATGCACAGCAATATGTTTCACTGTCTCCAGAGGGTTGCTGAAATCCTACAGAACCTATAAGGAGGCACTTAGCATATTTTGTATTTATAGAGAGGCTTTCTACCAACAATCTGTGCAGCACAGGTCTCATTTCATTAATCCTCGCAGCAGGGGTGTAGATGGTTGGGAACAATTGTCAATTTTACCTAATGTTGAGACAGAGCTGCAGAGAGGTTAAATGACTTGCCTAAGGCTACATGATGAGACAGTACCAGAGTCAAGATTAGAGCCCTGGAATCTTGACTTCTGGTCTACTATCTTACACCTTTCTTCAGAAATAGCATAATAAAAAGTGCACTAAATTTGAGAGTTTAATTTTCTTTGTGACATTCAGCATGTCACTTAACCTCTCCCTGCCCCAGTGTCTGAATCCATAAAATGGGGATAATAATACTTGTCCTATAGCTTGTCACAGAAATATTATGAATATTAATCTTTTTAGTGATTAGACCGTTTGGAAATAGCTGCCATATAAATTCAAGGTTTAAGTTAAGGTCACAGACAACTACGTGTATATTATCAAATGAAATACAGAAATGCATTGATTTTATTTCAATGGTAGTAAAATATATATAACAATGATAGCAAGGTTTTTGAAGATATTCATTTGATTTACCAACATGGTGTTGATTTTCTAATGATTATATGAGGGTATTGCAAAATGGCTTAAATTTTTAACGTCTAATCTTTTTCCAAAACCATCTTCCCAAACGCTTAGTTTTCTGTAAGTGGTAGAACCTGATTTATTTTTCAGATAAAATATACTAGGTTTACTTGTTTTGTGAAATCACATTTGTAATAAAAAGAAACAAAGGAAGAACATGGGAAAGGTTTTGCAATTTAGTTCCTTTCCCCCATATCTTTGCTCAAAGTCCAATATCCCCTGTAACTACTAAAATGGTGGTGAAATTTGGATTTATTTCCCACTTCCCAGGTCTGGTCTAGTCCTCCACATTATCCTGAGCAAAGTACTCAAGAGTTAATGGAGTCCATGGTAGAGTGTTTGCTTCTTCTGTTTGAAATCAAACATCTGATCTTTATCTGCAGTGACAGGTTTAATGCCTTTCTTCTCTGACAAATTTTCAGTTGAAGAGGAATGCAAACACTGGTATCGGGACAGTTGTATAAAGGCCTAATCTGAGCAAGCCCATATTGGCAGTTTGATCCTTAATGAACAGCAGAACCCTGAAGGGGCCCCACTTGCCAGAAGAGAAAAAAACAAAACAAAAAACATCGAAGCAGAAACCTCTGTATACTTTTTCCAGCACCTCCATGGCTGTGCTTGGATCTGGCAGGGGAGAGACATAACAGGGAATTTTAGCTCAGAAGTGTCAGCATTCTCCTTTACCCCTCCCAGGGATGGAGGGCATGCAGTCACTCAGGAAGCAAATGAAACAGGAGAGAGAACCAGGTCAAAAAAGGCCTCAAGAACTAACTGGGTTTCCCCCTGACCCTTAGAGGGCTCTGCCATGTGAAAAGTGCTGAATTCTGTGTTCCTCTTTGGGAACCTAATACTCTGAACAGTGAATGTGCCTACCATGTTTAGGCCTAATGTATTAATGAACTTGGCTGACTTGGGGAACTTTCCAGAGAGTACTTTAAACTTCCCTATCGGGCAACATGAGGGTATCCAGAGAGGCTCCTCAGGAAAGGGAGAAAGGGGAACTTGCTACAGAACTAGAATATTCCAAGCACGCCTGAGATAGGCCCAGTGCTGTCAAATATTGTATTTCACATGTGGGGAATTTATCACTATCATGATAAATGGGAATGTTTTAAGTCAATGTAGCCAATTCTTCTTGTTTGTTTGTTTGTTTTTGAGACACAGTCTCCGTCTGTCACCCAGGCTAGAGTGCAGTGGTGTGATCTCCACTCATTGCAACTTCGACCTCCCGGGTTCAAGCAATTCTCCTGCCTCAGCCTCCTGAGTAGCTGGGATTACAGGCGCGTGCCACCACGCCCAGCTAAGTTTTGTATTTTTAATAGAGATGGGGTTTCACCATGTTGCTCAGGCTGGTCTCGAGCTCCTGAGCTCAAAGTGATCCACCCGCCTCGGCCTCTCAAAGTGCTGGGATTACTGCCGTGAGCCACCGCACACAGATGAGTCAATTCTTTTCTATTGCATTAAAATTCATGTGATACAGAAGAAACTTGAAAGAAAATAGATGGTAGGAATTTCTGACTGTGACTGGCATATAAAATTCTGTAGAGAAAATTTACATCCTAACCTCTTGTTGCCCTGATACAGTATGAACCAATATAACCATTAGTACCACGTAAAATTGAAACTAAAATTTGAAAAAATATTTTGTATATAGTCTAAAATATAGTACGGTCTTTGATATTTGTTCATTGGTGGCATGACTTTTGCCTTTCTTGTTCTTCCCCCCTCCTCCATCAATCACTTACATTTTAGCTATTATTTATTGAATGTTTACATATTCATTAAATGCTCAGTATGTGCAAAGTGAACTGTTTAGCTCTACTAGGAAGGAAGACAAAGATGGGTGAGAAATGGGAAAAAATTAGACTTTGACCAGAGTCTTCTAATGAAGCCAATGCATTTTGATCACAGAGCTCTTAGATAAGATTCCTCTGGTTGGTGGAAACCCATAGACCTGATGGTCATTCAACCTCATTTCCAACTGATGGGCTTCTGGCTCCCTCTGCACCTGTGACTTTGGAGTATTGTCACAGGCGTATACCTGTGTATTGTATTTGGCATATACCTTCTCAGGGAGTCTTGGGTCTTAGTTGGAGTAAGAAGTAAATTCTAAAGTCTTTTTTTTTTTGTAATAATGGCAAGCTGACCCTTCGTCTAATCTAATCACACCTCACATCAGGTTAATTTGTAAATCAATCTTTTTACATTATTAATCACAGAAAACTAGATTTAGTACCATGCAGCTTGGTTAATCCTCCTACAACTCAGCCTGTCAAACCTCAGGCCCTCTCTATTCCTCCATTGTGTTCTCTGGAGCTCAGAATCCACCTTAGTGGAGCCTAGGGAACCACAACCACTGCAGAGAAGTCAGATCCATCGTCCTTGAAGACTGACCCTCCAGCTTCTTTTTGTGGCCCTGTGTTGAGCTTGTTCACCTGTCTAAAGAACACAAGACCTCTTGCTGAGGCAGCGGCTTTGGTAAGCAAATGCCTTCAACTCAACTCGGGTCAGATTAAGACGTTCTCAGGAAGCAAGATAATTCCTGTTCTGGATGAGTGTTTTCAGCACCGCCTGCAGGTAGGGTGGCGCAGGCAGAGGAGCCATGGCTGAGGACTTCCTGTGGTGTGGCCTGGTGTGTCCTCATCCAGATGTGCCTTTCTTTGGGATGTGAACTGCAAGGTCTGCACCCTGGATGCTTATCCAATGGATGTTGTGTCTCCTCTGTGTTCACATGTGGTGTGGTCTGGGGGCCCCTACACAACCTGCTTGACTGAACATATTCTTCAACTTACTGCTCCCTGCAACTAGCATGCCCCTGAACAGGGGTCTCAAATCAAGGATTATATTTTTCCTTATCTTATAGACCTCAAATACTGGAGGCAGACAGGTGTCTTCTTTGCTCCCTATTTAACTTAAGATCATTTCTCCTACTTCAAACTCCTATCTTATTGGAGACACCGGTTATTGGCCACCATGTTTGCAGTCATCCTCCAAACCCCCAGCAACTCCTCTCCCTCATTAATGGATTTAGGACTTGGAACACTCATTTTCTCTCCATGATGGCAACTGTCATCATGGGTGGCAGCTTGAGCATTCGTCCACATAGCTAACTCCCCATGCTCACCTTTCCTGGCTCAACCCTCAGCTAAACCATCTTTTTATTCTATTTGCTCAGCCAGCCAGTCACATGGGCCTGTTTGAAGCTGTGTAATTTCTGGCAGCTTCACTACCTTAGAAATCTTGCCTCTAGGGATTCTCTTCTCTGACATACTCCTCTTGACTGTTCTCCAACAGCACCCTGACCTCCGTGGAGGCTCCGCACCTGTCTACTGACCACAGTGGTTTTCTCCACCAGCAAGTCCTCTTCACACCCTCACTTCTCTCTTTATCCACCTTATTTTCTGTGCACCTTAAAATCATCCTTAATATCCCTGCTGCATTCTTCCTTGGAAGCAATATTAGTACTCTAAAAGCTCTCTACCTAAATATTGCTGAAGACAAAAATCATTCAACCATGCAAACTGGACTCACGTTAAATTTACAACAAATCTTAAAGGGCACTCAGAATCATCAGAGGACCCTACAATGCCTTCTATTCTCTGCAATGACGATTTTACAATTTACTCTTTCCTCCAGCCTAACACCCATTTCCCTGTACACCACCGGCTCATGACCTTGTTGCATATCAGAGAGAAAACGAGGCTTCTCGGAGAAGATGTGCCTGCCTTTCCTCCACCAAACCCAAGCCCGTCTTGCTGTACAATATATGTAATTTCAACCAGTTTTAAGTGTGCAATTCAGTGGTGTTTTATTCATCTCTGGAGCTTTTTCTCTTCCCTGAAACTCTGTACCCATTAAGCAGCAGCTTCTTACTTTCTTCTCCTCCCAGGCCCTGGCAACCAGCATTCCACTCTATGAATTTTCCTACTCTAGAAATCATATATAGGTGAAATCATAAAGTATTTGTGCCTTTATGTCCAGCTTATTTCACTTAGCATAATGTCTTCAAGGTTTATCCACACAGTAAAAGTGCTTTTTTAAATAGGAAGAATAAGGGTGAAAGAAGAAAGAAAAATGATAAAAGAGTCACAGAGAATTTAAACCTTCTTTGATAAACATTTATCTTCACGTAACTTATCCAACCCAAACCTCAACCTAAGCACTCAGGCTGGAATGACACTTGTTTAAGACTTCTAGTTACAGCCCTTCTTCCAGTAAAATGAGCACAGCAGCACCATGCTAACTGCTTTTCTCCCCCTGTTAACTTTCCAAGTGAATTCCTGGTGGCGGTAAAGTGGCTTCACACTGCCCTTCAGCTAACAGTATTTCAAATGTTTTCTTTTCTACATCAAGTGTCTTACTTGAATTTTTGATATGCATTTATCTTCCTCTGGTTTTACAGCAGGTCTTTGGACCTAGGTGTAGGAAAGATAAAACAAAGCGTCAAGGGAAATCCTTTGTTCATGGGGCTACTCCTCAGGCTCTATGAGTCTTTGCCCCGGCTACGTTGGTGCATCTTGAAACTTAAACCACCTAGAAGGAAACCTTACATTACAGGCAAAAATGGAAATGGCCAGAATCTAAAGCACCTGTTTCAGTCCCAAGACCTATATGTCTCCCTGCTTCTGACTTCCTTTTGAGCCCTCCTGCTCTAGGCCATTCTTGCTAACTCTTTCAACCTTGCCTGCTGCAAACCCTTCTTTCTGAATGGAAAGATTTCTTCACAGGTTTCCTCTAGAGATTAAAATACATGCTGCGTGTCCTTCCACCACCCCTTAAGTAATGCATTTATTCTTTCCCAGGGCTGCTGGTTCTGCTTTTCATCTATTCCACCTCAATTCCCCCTACTTTCCAAAAATTCAAGGGCCATGAAAAGTTACCATGTTCATTCTTCCTCTCCATCACATCAGGGAGAGAGGTGCACTGGCCACATCTTTGTTTACTGCACACTTGGCGAGGCCGAGCCAGCTGGAGTTAGAGGTGTGGTGGTGTTGGTGGTTGTGTGCACTATGGGGTGACATGGGCAGGGTGGCGAGTCCTAGGGAAGGGAGGTCAATGCCCTGGCGTGACTTACAGGGGATGCCAACTCTAACAAGTGGAGGGGTGGTTCTAAGGTCCTTGGGTTCCAGCTCACTCCTGTGCTCACACTCATTCTTTGAAAACAGAGCCATGACCAGTCTCCAGGGAAACTCCTCTGAGCAGATACAGGCACTGCAGGGAGGGCTTGACAGGCACCTAGAAACTTTGCTGTCCACCCAGAAACATGATCGCTGACCTGCGGCCACAGGAGTGCCGGACCACATGGATTCCAAACAATTACTTTCCTCAGCTGTTAGATTTTCAAATGTGATCTATAGAGTGATGCTGACAGTATTTTCTGCCAGCAATAAAGGTGGCCTGATTCACAGAATAATTACTGTATGCAAATGAATGTGATTTTCCTCTGCCCTTTTATGGATGACTCTGCTCTGCCATTCATCAGGGCCACAAATTTCACTTGGGAAGAGACGGATTTAAAGAGACAGGCGCCCCTGGAGCTTTGCAGTGAACTTACTAAATCCTGGCTAAGTGTCTTCATAAATAGACGTGCATATGCTAGAGGGGGCTGCCAGACGCTGACCTTTTTATCTCTGTATCGTTGCTTGGAAAACTGTTGAGAGAACATCTTCCTTTGTGCCCTCCCAGGTCTTCTGGGAGCAGTGTCCTGCAGATTCTCATGTCCTGCAAGTCCCATAGACCCTGGTAGCTTCTCTTTCACCTTTCAGGGCAGCTCTTCCTCTGTGGTGAAATGGAGGAGCAGAATGCATTTCCCATATCTGGCTCTGCTTCTGATGAAATAATAGCACAGACAATTAACAAGAAGCGTTGTTTTGCTTGATACTGAAACGTAATGGAAGAAAACACACAGTAAAAGCTGGAGGTGCAATATTCTCTTAAAAAGCTTGGGTTTCACGTCTTTGGTGCTGGAGTCTCTGGCACCTGACGATATCCTGCTGGGTCAATTCATTTCTTCACGACTGTCTGTGTGCAGTCACCTGTGCACAGGGGGTGGGTCTGCCCTCCTCTACTGCAGTGGAGGTGACGGAATGGTGGGTTGTCAGTCCCCGAGGTTGCCACCAGAACACGAGTGCACATTTACAGGGGACCCCCAGAACATGATGTGTCGTTGCCAAATTTCAGTTTCCACATTTGCTCCCAGTGCCCGCTGTGCACCCTCGTCCTTTGAGTGTGGAAGAAAGGGGAGTGTGATTGTTATAAATGGAACAGCCCCACCTGTCAGGGGGCTGTCTTGTTACTCATATTGTAACAATATACTGATGTCAGTACATCTCCAACACACTTTCTTCCACTGTCACTTAGAGAATAAAGGAAAGACACATCAGTGTTTATATGTATACAGGCAGCATACACCACGGTGGGCCATCACAGCCTTTCCCAAATAAATACCGATTAATACTGAAATTTTCTGAGTGCAAAACAGGTGAGCCTGGTCTCCAGGAATTCCTTCAGATGATGCCACTAAGTCTTCCCAGTGGCTCACAGGAGAAGCACAGATGGTTTTTACAGATGCATCAAACCATGACATTATTTTAAAACAAAACTTCAGACCAATCCCTGAGGATGATACCTTTTCTTAGGAAGACCAAATTTTCTTCTCTTCACAAATTATAAGAATGAATAACACCTTTGATTGTAATTTATCTCTTAATTTCATTCTTTAATACCTACTTTGATATAACATAACAGTGTTAAAAAGAGATTCAATATTTGATTACAATAAGTTGTAACTCCATTTTAACCTTGTATACTACAGTGATTGCATGTACTGAGAATTTAGAGAGTAGATGGGGAAATATCCAATAGTCCATTTGAGAAATTTTCTCAAGAAAAACTAGTTTTGTTGAAAAAATTATAAATAATACGTTTTATGTTGATTGTACATAGATTTGTAAAAATGTATACTTACTTTGTATTTGGTAACAGTCAAAAACTAAAAGATAATTTATACTTGCCAGAGTTGAATGTAAATTGACAATTTTAACATCTGTTTAAAAAAAAATCCTAAAACACAGATAGCAATACTAAAGACCACATGACATTAACAAATGAAAGAGGATTGAGAAGAAGACATTTAGAGGCCAAGTGGCTTGGTTAGAATTAATTCTCAACAAGTCTATTTTATTTAGCAGAAATGTCTTTCACCCTCTTTTATGAACTGAACTGTGTCCTCCCCAAAAAAGATATGTTGAATCCCCAGTCCTTCAGGGTGTGACCTTATTTACAGAGATAATCAAGTTTAAAGGTCATCGGGGGGGCCCTAATCCAATACGACTGTGAGCTAGTAGAGAGGGGAACTTTGGACCCAGAGATGGATGTGCATACAGGGAGGATGCCATATGAACTTGAAGGCAGAGATGGGGGATGCATCTACAAGCCAGAGGGCACCAAAGATTGCCGGGAGCCCACGAGAAACTCAGAGAAAGGCCTGGAAGAGCTTCTCTCTCATATCCCTGGGAAGGAACTAATCCTGCCTTGATCTCAGACTTCCAACTTCTAGAACCAAGAGGCATAAATTTCACTTGTTTAAGTCCCCCAGTGGTAGTCAGTTATGGCGGCCTAGGAAACTAATGCACCTGCATTCTCTTATCAAGACATGGGGTTAAAAACAGAAATCTCTGCAGAGCAAATAAGGACAGCAGCAGCCTCCTGTTGGTCTACAGCACAGTGAGATGGCGGAAGACAGCCATGGCTCTTCTCCTGAGAAAGGTTTCTGCTCATCACCCAAAAGCCTCAACCCTGTGGCTTCAATGACCACTGCCAATCATATTCCTTTACATCTCCAGGTAACAGATGATTGGCCACAGGAGTTGGAATGTTGGCCTGTTAGCCAATTAGAGCGTGGAGAAGTGATGGTGTTCCTCCCAGGGCTGGAGATGTAAAAGCCTAGGATTTTTGGCTGCCAGGTTTTCCTTAGAGTGCAAGAAGCTGGTCTGTAGCATGAAGGAATGGAGTTAACATACAGAACAAGGAGGTTTGGTGGAAGAGAACAAGAGGAGCTGGTGGCGTTTGAGTTCTAGGTCTCACATCCTCAAACCTCTGCATGCAACTTTATTTAACTGCACCCTTGCCCTGACTTCAGCTTGTTTATATGAGCACATACCTTCCCTAGGCTAGTTTCAGTTGTATTTTTGTTCTTGCAAGTAAGCAACTACACATTAACATACCACTCAAACATTAACTTGATTTTAGTATTCCTGAATATCAAAAATGTATTTTGGGTTTCTTGAGAAAGTACCTACATTGATATCACAGATTTAAAAAGAGTTCAACTATAAGGCCTGTGAATTTAACATTACTCAATAAATGTTTTTATTAGACTGAATACAGTGTTGGGATTCAAGGTTACTATTGTGCAGGTAGTCAAGGTATTAGTAATTCTGATGATATAATTTTATTTTTACAAGTTATTTCTTCAAATCCTGTTCTGTGTCTTTATAACAAGTTGCACTGACATTGAACTAGAAGGAATATTGAGTTGCAATTTTAAATATCACCCATCTTTAGCCAGGAGCTCACTGAACTGAGACAGACAGTATCTGAGCATTTGTCAATTCCTGTGAGGGACTTATAAATTCACCTCTAGACTCTTCCAACAATGTCTGGTTTTTCTTGCCATGAGTTTGTGCCTACCCCAATTAGAATGTCTACTGCCACACCATTAATCTTTGTAAACCCCATTCAATCATCCATGTGTTCATTCATATGCTGTTATTCATGCATCACGATTTCGTGTACCTCTGTGTGCCTCTTTCTCTGAGAGATGCTGTGAGTGCTTAGGTTCAAGGAACACAGCCCCTGCCCTCAGGAGCTTTCAGTCTGGATGTAGTTCAAGTGAACCCTTCACTCTAAATCGGTCAGGGGTCCAAGGCTGGCAAGACCAAGTCCAAATGCCCCAGTCTGGCATTCGAGGCACTCCTTTGATTTGTTAGAACATTTTATACTAGCTGGATTGATTTTTACTCTATTCTTTAGAGAAACTACTGAGACTACTTGACTCTGACCAAAATTTACCACGATTTTCCTGATTCTGCGATTGTACTTATGTTTCCCCACCTTTAATACCTTTCTCAATGGCATTCATCTTTTCAAATCACATCCCAGCCAAAGCTCACATCTTCAGGGTTCCAGCCACAGGACTCTCTCCCCACTTGAAATTCTGTAAGAATTTTTAGAATTTTCTTTTTAACTGGGTTGTAAAATAAGGCCATATCTTTTAATGTAAGGATGACGTTTTATCTGTCCTTTATCTCCCATAACATGCTTCAACATAGGCCAGTCAATATTTGTTGATAAATTGATTGATAATTATGTGGTATTTATTGTGTCCTTCCATGTTTGGCCAAACTTTTGATGAGCCTAGGATTTGACTTGTGAAGAACACTCAAATCTCAGCAGACTGTTTTGACTTCTTTTACCTCCTTCACTGTCCTATGAGGGGAGCACCAGCCTGGCCTATGTTGACCCTTGGGGACCCAAGGTAACCAAAGTATTTCTTAGAGGAAGCTGGAAATGCATTTGACTCTAAAATTGAGAATTAAACCAGCATCCAGGGAGGTAATCTGAAGCATTCAAATAAATTGCCAAAAATTATGCAGATATCATGAGCTAGAGCATAAGACCTCAAGATGGCTACTGATGACCTGGGAAAATCCACAGCTGCTGGCAACTCATCTATGAATCAGCCTGTGTCCCTGGGACCTTGCCGATGGTACATGGTGGATTTCTTCATGGGTTTCAGAGAGGAAAAATGAATGTGCAATTGTCTGTCAGCCTTGAAACGTCAACCAAATGGCTTAATGATTTATTTGTATTCTTTGGTTCATTAATTCATTCATAAAGACACCAAATATGTCTTATCACCAGTCGCAGTGCTGGGTTCAGAGAGTCTGGGACACCAGTGATCTGGAGAACTTGTAGTTTATACTCTTTCTGATAAGATGGGTGTTGAACCAACAACTACAATCATGGTAAGGGATTATAGGAGGATGTCCTCCACCTCCCCAGTAAATGGTAGCACCATCTATGCCATTGCTCGAATCAAAAATATAGGGATTTTCCTTGACACTTCTTGTGATAGATATTAACTATGTTCACCAGTAGTTTCCTTCTATTATTTCCATAGAGAATGACACTTGTTCGACCCTCAATATTAGACATGACCAAGTGACTTGTTCTTGCCAATGAGCTGTGAGTGGAGGGGATAGGCATCACCACTGCATGGAAGCATCGAAGAGCTAGTGCAGGATTCTTCATATTCTTTCAGCCCTTATTCAGCTACTACTCACCTTTCAAATCGGGAAGTCTCCATCAGCCTGGGTCTTTCATTGGGGACAGGATGAAACACAGTCCCCTGCTGCCTTTTCCATGAACATGGATCAAGAAGGATAAGTTAATTTTTGTTTTAAGCTATTAAGATATTGGTATTATTTGTTAGGCAGCATAGCTTAGCCCACTTTGGATGATATACTTCTCTGTCCCTCAGTATCATCCAGTCCTCCAGGGATTCCTCTTGTCTCTACTTTAAAACAGGTCCTGACTCTGTTCACTTCTCACCATCTTCATTCCTATCATCCTAGCTCAAGCCATCCTTTGTCTGGATGATTGCAAGAGACCCCTCATTGGTCTTTCTGTTTTTACTTTGAGCCACTTAATGACTTTATACCCACAGATATTAGAGTAATGCTTTTAAAACTTAAATCAAATCAAATCATGTCTGTCTCCTAAACCCTTTCAATAGCTTTTCTCAAAACCTAGAAGAAAATTTAAGCTACTACCCATGGTGTAGACACCCTGCATGGTCTCCCTTCTGCCTTCGTATCCTAACTCATCTTATGTCGCTTTGCTCTTATTTATTACACTTTAAACACACCAGCCTTCATTTCATTTCCCAAAACTCCAAGCTGTGCTCTCTACCTGGAATGTTCTTCACTCATCTGACTCCTTCATTTAAATGTCGCCTTTTCAGAGAGATCCTTCTTGACCAGAAAACCAAAGGAGCTTTCTATCACATCACAGTCTTTGAATGTTCTGCATAGCGTTCGTCACCATCTGATATTTTTCTGGCTTGTGTGCTGTTTGTTTTCAGTTTATCCCCATGAGAATGTCAGCTCTTTCAAAACAGGGGCTTTGCCTTTCTTGTTTACAACTGTATTTCCCTGGAGCACAAGAAAGTCTTTAGTCAAAATTTGTGGATTGCCTCCGTGAACAAGTGAAGCAGCACGTGAGTGAGTGAGTCGAGTGTGAGCCGTAACTACAGCGGGGGACTGCTGGGCCCCAAGGGGGCTTGGGGTGGGGGCTGGGCAGCAGAACCTCAGGGACTCGTGGACAACAATTCCATAGGCATCTTTGTGGAGGCCCTTCATCCTGCCCCGGAGAACTGGTCTCTAAAAATTAAAGACACAGCGTGTCAGTGAAATCTTTCCTCCTTAAGAGAACAAGAGGGAATGAGCCCCTGCTCCAGCACATTAGGGTGCGGGATGAAGGTTTCCACCTGCCATGCAGGAATGTTATTCCATTAGTGGAAACCCCACCTGGAGATCCTTAAACATCAGATAATATAAAGATGTGGTTTAATGTTTACTCTGCTCTGGAACCCAATGATGAAAGGTGTCCCACAGAAAATCTCCATTAGACATTTCTTCTCTATGTGGTATTGATGACTTGGAAGCCATAGAAAACTATGGACTTAATAATTATTTCAGTGTTTGTTTTCTGTTTTATTTGCAGATGCAAGTAAATAGTATCCAACGGAAATAGTGAGATTAAATGAGTGATGTGACTAGCCTGTCTTTGTATTATTGAGAACATGTTTACATTTGTGGTACTAGGGTCTGGGTGATGATCTCTGCCTTCCCTTTATACACAATTTTGGGGGCTGGTAAGAATTCTGTTGGGGCCAAAACACAGAAAACTTTTGATACTGTGAAATGTCAAACCATATAGATTGCACCTACTTTTGATAATTTAAAATAGTATTTAGTTATTTTTTTTTCACCTTACTATCTTCATGTTCTTTTCTCCTTTAAGAAAATGTCATTATTATTACTTTTTCTAATTCAAGCCTGGTTAAAATATTACATTAAGTTTGGACATAAAGGTTGTTAATATGGGGTGAAGTATTCAAACAAGGGGTGCGCTAGGGCAGATTTGGGTTCTTTAACTCTACGTCCTGGGGTAGTTTGGGGAGACATTTATGGACTTCACGGAGGTGCTGGGCTTTGTGATGCGGCACCGAAGAATTCATAACATTCATTGTTTAAACAAAGATCTCTCACTCTTAAGTTTATTGAAAGTGGTCACTGCTACCCAGACTGAAACCACAGAGAAAGTTATTTGGCCCCAAGATTGTTGGCATTTGGGCTGCAAGCTAGGTAAACTGAGGCTTAGGACAGATTCGACCTAACAGTGAAGGGAAGCAGGGGTGTGCGCTCCGGTTTTTCAGTTTGCGGGACTCCAGGCACAGGCAATTTTCTGGACAGGTGGTATAGATTTTTGTTTTGTTTTGTTTTGCTTTTTGGTTTTGTTTTTTAACAGCAATTTAAACTGGAGTGGCAGCTGTTCACGGCTAAGATTTTAGGCAAACTGCCAGACGTTTTCTTCACAAAGAAGAATTGGCAAACTCCAGAAGCCTGCTGGTTTTGCTTTGGTTGTGCGTGTCATTTTTTTTCATGGCTTCACCACTCATCTCGCCTGGTCTTTTGTCTTAAACCTGCATAACATAATTACAAAAATCTCAGGCTTTTGAGCTAGGTTGATGAGCACATCCTTCCAATGCTATCATCCTAAAGGAATTCCAGTAAGGAGGATAAGATCCAGGATAACTTGGTGAAATCCTGTGAAGTTTTAATTCTGAGAAAAGACTCATACAATAGGCTCTCTCTGCCATCCTGGATGATCGGGACTTTCTGACTTCTCCCTTTTCTTCCCTACTCCCAGCCAAGAAGTTGGCCTTCTGAGTCAGAGATATATTACTTCTAGTCAAAGATTCCCACAATCCCTTAGAAAGATCAAAGGATTTCAAATAAACAAACAGAGACATAACACTGGAGAACAGAGAAAAGAAAATAGAACATCCTTTCAGTCAAAATATCCTGCAGTATCTCCAGATACTGCCTCGTGACAGAGGACAGGCAGAAATGACATTTCTTATAACTAGTCAAAAATAAAATCCACGATGAGTGTGAAATGCCTTTGAAAAGGAAAAGAAAAAGAAAACACGGACTCTGTTTCAGGGTCATTCGACCTGGAATCTTGACCATAAGTGCTGATTGGGGGTGGGAGAGGGAGAGTAAGGGCGGAAGCAGTTGTCCATCAGTGCTGGGAATCTTCAATAAGGGGAAGCATCCACCACACACTTGGCGTCCACTTTGTGAATCACCATTGAACACATGATGTCATTCGTTATACAATTTCGATGTTTTTGAGGGGAGGTGACACGTGAGGTTTTCAGTTTAGTGGGTTTGTTTTATTCAATAGATTACAAACAAAATGTTTCTTTGCGTTGAACAAAGCCATAATTAAATTATGATATGTTAGTGTAGAAACCTCATGTTACACTCAACCAGTGATGTTTCAAGCATAATATGAAAGATAACCTTTTATGAAAGAATGCTTTATTACTATAATTCCTAAAACTTTACATCTTGAAACCAAAACTTTTTAGAGTTTATTGCAGCTGCAGGGTTTCTTAATGTTTCATTTCTCTTTGGTTGATGCACTCTTAACTTTAGGTCTCTCTGTTTTGCCCCTTAGCCTTCTAACACACACACACACACACACACACACACACACACACACACACACACACACACAGATCTCATTTTTAGCTTTTTTTTTTTTTAATAGTGGTTGTCCCAAAAGAACTGGTCTCTGCTAGAGCTGGTGCCTGTCACCGCCGCCCCTCACATGCCTGGTAATTAAACTCTGACTGATTTATTGACTGACAGCCAACAAATCCCAACCCAGTTTTTATGATATACATACTTCTCCGGGCTAAATTTACTCAAACAACAACCCAGTCAAAGCAGAGGAAAGGCGGAAGGAGGCAATGGGGGAGGAGAGGGGCAAGTGATATGAGCATAAACGCGGAAACCAGCTTTAATTGGTGAAGGGAGACATTTTGCAAAAGAAAGAAAGAGACAGAAAGAAAGAGAAAGGAAGGAAGGAAAGAGGGAAGCAAGGAGGAACAAAAATAAAGGAAGAAAAGAACTCAGTGCAGCATCTTTTTTTTTCTTTCTTCAAATCCCGAGTTCTGGGGAGGCAAGGAAAGCTGGTAAACATCATTACTTCAGCTTTCAGGTTCATTGGAACCGCCTCACGTACAAAAGCGCTCTGAAGGGGAACACAAGACGTGCTTGCAGCTAATATTACAGTCAAGTTCCAATTTTACCTAAGGGAAAGCAGCTTTATTAAAAGTCATGACTGAAATTGCATGACAGGTGCCAATATCCTCCGCCCTGACAGATGTGTCAGTTTCAGAATGCCATTTCCTTGTCAGCGTTCCCTGGATGGAGCTCCCCACACTGCCATTTGTCTCTCTTCCAGGAGATCACACACGCCCGCCGTTTGCCTCCAAGCTGCACAGCTTTGTTTGATATGTGGAATCCTCACAATGAGACTTATTAAAAGACAGTCCATTATTTTTATTTAGGGTATTTCCAAAACAAGCAGAGCGCACACGGAGATAATTTAAAAATCGTGTGGCGGGTCATCTCCAGGCCAGCGTGGCTCAATTTGAAATGCATAAAAAAGTAGAATCTCTATCCTTTTCCCACGGCCACATCACACACACACACACGCACATCACAAACACACACACACACACACACGCACTTTCCAATTCATAACGGGCGTGATTTGAGTGACATTTAACCCTTGACTAATAGCCCTGACAGTCCAAAGCCCTATTTTGCTATAAACCACAGGAGCTTTCAACATGAAGGATTAACCCTGCTTCCTTTTTTCCCTAAATCTTTCTTCCTTTACTTCTTTTTTTTTTCTTATTTCCTTGCATCCCTCTTCTATTTCGTTACAGGTGGGCTTTCTCATCACAGCAATAGATATAAAATACTCCTGATTGGCTGTATTTATGGGGCCTTTTCGTCCTCCTGTTGGTTTCAAACACAAAGAAAAATGGTCTCTCTACCGTGCCTGGTTTGAACAGCAGGTAAAGCTGCAGCCGCCTCCTCTCCAGCCCTGGATGGAAAAGTATTACAGATGAAATGATTCCACCATGGAAATAGTGACAGACAAGTTCCGGCTTAAAGGAGACTTGTGCAGATGCCAGAGGCTGTGAAGCCCGATGGATTCTGCACCAGACAAGGTGACCCAGGCTGGCTTTGCTTTTCCTAGCTGGGGATGGACAGAAGGCAGGATGGGGTTTGGAGAGCTGAGCCACACTGCCAGTGTCAAGGATGAGAATTCACTAGAACCGCTATTTGTTCTCAGGTGAGAGAACTCCGGTTTCAGGCTTTCCTATTACTTTATCTCATAGAGTTAGAGCCAAGTGAAGTCTCAGTGTCAAGGGACATTGATTGTGCAACCTCATCCCATGCATTGTGCATCCTGGTCAGCCTTCTCAAACCCAAGTGGCATTTGGCAAGTCACCCCAGCCAGCAGGACACATTCTGGAAAGGCCTTTCGGGTCAACATTGAGGTCTGGTGCACACAACTGGGAATCCTGGCAGTGCATTTGGGAAAGGCGGGCAAGGCCTACAGTTTCACTCTTTCTGACTCTGTCCAGAGCTGTGTTAGTCTCTTGCTTTCATGAGCACCCTAGCAAGCCACAAAGCAGAAAAAAATTAAATCATAAAGTGAAAAGCAAAACAACTATCTCCGGCTTACTGCCGTAATCTTGAAATGGCAGATGGGCTCCCCAGGATGGGCCATCTTCTGAGGTCAGCCCTGGACCCTGGGAGACTGGTGGCAAGGTGGCCACACCACCACCTCGCCCTGTTACCTCTAAGTAAATTCAGAACAGAAGATGCAGCTGAGGAAATTCATTTGCATTTGCTATTTGTTTATTGAGTGACTAGTAAGGGACCATGCTAAATGCTGGGAACCAAAGACAACAGATATGGGGTTTCCAGCTTCAGAGAGGCCAAAGGTGTTTTTTCTCTTCCTTTTTTTTTTTGAGATGGAGTCTTGCTCTGTTACTCAGGCTGGAATGCAGTGGCGTGATCTCAGCTCACTGCAACCTCCGTCTCCCAGATTCAAGCGATTCTCCTGCTTCAGCCTCCCAAGTAGCTGGGATTACAGGCATAGGCCACAATGCCCATCTAATTTTTGTACTTTTAGTAGAGATGGTGTGTCACCATGTTGGCCAGGCTGGTCTTAAACTCCTGACCTCAAGTGATCCATCTGCCTCAGCCTCCCAAAATGCTGGGATTATAGGCATGAGGCACTGTGCCTGGTTGGCCACAGATATTTTTAAGCCAGTAACAGGGTTTCTTACACTGTTTTCCTTAATAATTATGTGTATTTACATGCCATTTTTGCTGAATCTATTAATCAACCACTCGATATTTATTCTGCTGTGAAGCATTACTTTTCACCCCTCCTTTTGTCATTTCTTATCCTATAACCAGAATTAATATGTTCCGTGCTCTTACTTTTGGCCATTATTATAGCTCCCATTTTTGTCTTCATTCTTACCTGTTGATTTGCTTAAGATTTGCTAAAAGTTCAGAAGACATGAAGCCATACCAAAGGCTTTGCTTGCTGGGGGTGGTATCTGCTGCTTATTTCTGACTTTAGGATATATTCTTGTTATTATCCTTTGGTTGTGAAGATCACCAGAGGAGAAAGCAACGTCCGGGCCTGACTCTCTCGTCCTTACCCAGAAGACTGCGTCTTGGTCTCCCCTGTGCTCCGAGGCTGTCTATCCAAACCCAGACGTCACTGCTCTTCCTTGCTGTTCTGCCATTTGTAAACATCGAAGTCATTTTGGGGTTATTTTTATTTTTCATTCACTTGTCAGATACTTCCTTCACTTTTTTAACCAATATTAATTAAATGCCTGGGGCCTGGTGATGAATAAACACAGACACTTATGCCCTGTGGATCTTAAAATCTCAGGAGTTCTGAGCTATCCTTGTACTTGACTGTGGTCAAACATTTTAAAACTGCTTCACAAGCAGATCCTTTAGCTACGTGTTACCATCTATGTATTGTTACCCCCCCAGCCTTTAGTGAAGGAGGTTTTATATATTATTTTGGTTAAAAAGGGGCATTTGCACTTCTTTTCAAAAAAGAAAATTATATAAATTTTCTATGATTATTTTGTTTCCTTGGTCAGAAGCCTTTGTTGCCTGGTAAAGAAACCAAATGCTTTTTCTTGGCTTTTGAGTCTCTTCCCAGTCTAACCTCAACCTAATTATCCAATCTCTCTCTTTGCTGCCCCTCCTGGCTCTGTCTGTCTTCTATGATCTGGCCACTGAAACCTATCTCTGTATCTTTGTATATGCTATTGCCTCTGGGTCTGTAAAAACTGTATGCAGTCTTCATTGCTTTCTGTACCCCCTCTTCTCTCCTCTCTCTCTCTGTGTAGATCTCTAATACAGTGCTTCACACTGTCCTAAACGTAGTTTCTCATTCCTCATGTCCTATACCAGACTGGAAGCTCCCCTAAGTCAGGATTCATGTCTTCTTCAAAAACTTTGCATACATAAAATATCTCCTGGCACATCTCAGTGAGGTTACACGAACATTTTCCAAATACAGCTAAGCTTTCCACCTCACTGACTTTCCAAGTATGATTACTGTAGCTTTGGGATGACCTCCTACTGAATCGCTACCTGCTGAAGCCTTTATTTTCTTCAGAGATCGTTCTTTGAGTGGAAAATCCAGTTCCAACATAAAGACTTTTTCACATTCTTCTAGTTGGATCCCAGTGTTTTCTTTTGAGAACACCCAAGAGCATTATTAATATCTTTATTGTACCATTACCTTCTACTTTGTAATAAAGTTATCTGGGTATGTAACTTATTACCACTACCAGATTTGAAGTACCTGGAAGGCAGATGGTGATGGTATATAGCTTATATCTCTCATGTAATAAAACATAAAAGCACAATGTCTATTACATACTAGGTGGATAACAAATGCTAATAGAAGGGTTAAATAAATGAATTAATGCATGGATATATTCACATGATACTTCAGTTTTAAAATCAACTTTTAGCATGTCACATTCTAGCAAGCAGGTCTATATACTTTTTAATTGGATATCCTCTTTCTTCTCTTAAAGGAGAAGAGACAAATTGATGAGATAAAAGTTTGCTTGGACTCGACACATTCTTTGAAACACCTCTCTTGGACTCTCACTTAAATTGCTTTTAACTACTCACAATATCCTGGTTTCAGTGATGTCTGACTACCAGGAACATTAGAGTTATGAAGATTACAAGTATTCTATAAAATATACAATTGAAAACAGAGAGCAGAGCAAATGGACCCATGAAAGAATGGCGGTAGAATGAACAAGTCAACACAGCAGGCATGCTCCTATGAGCTAATCGCAAAGCAGTTGTCAAGCAAGGATGTTTATTTTAAAATCTTATGGGCCACTTTGACATGTAGGAAGTGTGTGGGGATTTATGCTCAGTTTGGGTCACTCAAGCCAATGGTACTATTTGTTAGACAGGCATATGGGGCTCTGCGAAACACTGTGACTGAAAGGGGAATGATTAACAACATTTTTGAGCTTTTTCAGGAAGTAATTTTATTCACATTTCAAGAACCACAGGGCATTCCAGAATCAGAGTTCTCCTTTTCTTGTTTCTATTGGATTTATTCTTTGGCCCTATTTTAAAATCACCTAAAAACACTTTTAACTACTGAAAGTGTCTCATCTCAGGTCACTTACAGAGCCCCCATTGATCTGGCATTACCAGGGGTTAGGAGCTTGGAACTGGACCTACATACACTTCCATCTCTCATGTAACTTTTAAAAAATGTTCTTTATTTCTTCTGTTTTCACCAAGAATTTAGAAGAACAAATCTTCTTTATTGTCTTAAAACTGAGAAGCTCAATCAATGGATTTGTCACAGAAGGTCAGGAGGAAGAAGAGGAAACTGGATAAAATTCAATGAAGAGGGGAAAGGAGAATGAAAGAAAACTGAGAATGTTTTTCTCTGATTAGGAGAGACCTGTGCTCACAGATGGGGCATTCCTTAATGCACTTCATTATTTACAATATCTCATCAAACAGGTGAAATGTTGAAAGAATTGGATTAGGAAGAGGTGGGATGTGTTCTCAGTGGAAGAAACTTAGACTAATGGAAGAATAAGGCCAAATAAAAACTGGATGAATGAACATGATGGCCCAAGGAGAGGTCCTGTCCAGCTTCCTCAAGCAGGACCCTCCTCTCCCCGGGGCAAACTGTCTTTGCACGGTGTTACGAGTGATGCAGCCCCCACTACTGAAATGCAGCTCCGTGTGCATAGAAATTCATTTGTGGTCAGATAATCCAAGCTCAGTCACTATTTTAGAATAACTCATTAGTAATTGTATAAAAGTGTTAATATACCAGCTCTTACTGCTGAGTTGAGAAAAGACCCTCAGTTTGTAAAAGATTCATTCTTTCTTGCCAAATTTAATCACTCTACCATTTTACCATACTTTATTTTTATAGCCCACAGTTACTAGTATAAACTCAATGCAAAGAATCTTTATTACCCTAAATCCTTATTCCTCAAATTTCTGCACCTGTTTGTAAATAATCTATGTCTATTTACATTGTGCAGTAAACTTATAGTATTTCTAACATTATATTTGTAAACCAAGTTAGAAAAAAAACCCATCGAATTGAAACAAGTTATATTGAAAGCAGGCAGTTTAATTCAGTCCTTTCCAAAGGTCACAGTCTTGTAGTTATTATTATTTATTCCTACTTTTTCTGGAATACTTAACTATCCTCCTTCACTCATTGCTCTCATCCAGTCCCTGGGAGTTTACTCTTAAAAACAGATATTGATGATACCCTAGCTATAATTCTGACGTGTCCAAATGTAAAGAAAATAAGAGGTGAAGCTCACGCATTGGTTTCCTATTTTTCACCAGCAGGCTCAGGGTACAGATTCTTAAAGCAGGAAGACAAACAGAGTCTGAAACTACCCAGAGTAATAATGTGGAATGCCATCTCCTTTGTGGGACAGAAAACTGAACAGATAGATCATGTTGCAATTAGGAAAATATTTCCCTTACTTAATGGATATATGCTAAAGAATCTCAGAAAATCATTGGTGCATGTGGTGTGCGTGTGTACATAAGCATGTGTGTTTCTGCATGCTCATGCATGTTGTACATGTGTGTATGCACATGCATGTGTGTTTGTATGCTTGTGTATGCATGTTAGAACCAATGGGTTTCTTCAGAAGATGTAGACAAATTATTAGCAAATATTCTCCCTTTACACTGGCATGGAGACCTCAGAGGAGATCAACTATAAATGACAAAGTACAGTCCAGATCACTCAAGTACAGACACCTCCTGCACTCAGCATCTCTCAGCCACCACTGGAAGATACTGTGTTTGCATAAAAGGTATAGGAGTCCTGCGACTTTCCTTCTTGGGGAAAAACAGTTTGGAGGGTTGCAGAGATTTGAACTTCTTTGCAAAAGTTTCATTTGGCCTTTGAGAGGGACCACGCTTATTCTGGTATGCTTTTCCATACATCAAGTTCCCTCAGCTACCTCCCAAGCCTATAGTAGAGGCTATGAAACACCATGACGTACGAAAGTGAAGTCTGGGCAGACAAAGCAAAAGGTTTCCACGTGTGGTAGGCGAAGACAGCGTTGGACTGCTACTCTTGAAAGATGTCCCCTCAGTGTGTCCCACAACACCTCTATCATGGCACATGACTGTCCACTGAGGGGTTTCAGATATGACCAGCAGCAGGGGCAACAGTGATCCTAAGCCCTCTATGAGGTTCAGGAAGGAACACAGAACAACAACAACAAAATCCTAAAAAAACACCCAGTAGGGAGAACACTCAAGGGCTGACATGAAACAAGCTGCTTCTTCCCGTGTGCACCAGAAGGCACTTTGGTGGTGATCAGGGTGATGAGGCCAAACTGGGCTATAGGATAACAGCCCTTACCACATGTCATGTGCTCAACTCTCTTCTGCTGCTGAACTGTAAGCTCCTGAAGAACCAGTTAGGGTAGTTTGTTTATCGCGCTATCTGAGTGTTCAAACCATAGTAGGAACTCAATAAATATTTATTTTCTAAACGATTGAATTTTGTTGAAATAGAAAAATTGAAATGTAAGCATATTTCCAAGCAGTTAAAGGTGTGGAAAAGAAGACAATGTTTTTCTGGATAAATTCCCATGGACAATACTGGCTAGAATGACGACAGCAACATTGACATTGTGTTTTCTGTTCTATTCTCTCTTTTTTCCTTCAACAGCCCTTATGAAAAGATTCCTGTTTAGTGATACACATACAGGCGCGTTCGTGGACAGGCACACGCACACACATTCATTATCTTTTAGGGGTCTAATTCAGGCCATCTGCTCTCTCATAAAAAGTGATAGCTTTTAGATTCCTTTAATGTTTCTACTTATAAAGGATCATAGGTCTGTATAATAATTAGTCTTTTCCTACTAATTGGTGACAACTTGAATCCCCTTTTATCTGAGCATCAAAATGTTTTAAATATTAACTAAGCTTTACAGCCTCTTGGTATGATGTGTGCCATGTGTCTGTGGTGGAGCTGGGTCAGCTGGCCAAGGAGAGCGGGTCAGCCATGGGCCAGGGCAGGATGGCAGGGCCTGTCATGGGCAGCATCACACACAGGTCACAGGCAGCTCAGACCCAAAGCCAGTGGGAAGGTGGCTGCTTCTGAACTTTGGAATTCCATTGTATTTAAAAACAGGTTTGACTCTAAACAATGCGACTACCCAATTAGACTTTTAAAAGTCAAGTCAGTCAAACAACTCGTCTGACATTTCACTAATATGATCAGCGGAGGCAGGCAGAGGAACCTCGCCATGGATGTGGGTAAACCACTTCAGCAAAGGCACGATTTTAAAGGGATTCACACCATGTGCTTAATTTAAATGTTAAATGAGCTGAGCACCGTTCTGGGGAGTTGATCTATATGAAAGCTGTCTTGTGCTTGTAGGAGTGGGATATTTGTATAGTAAAATTTGTTTATTATATGTATTTATAACTTATTGTATTAAATTACTATTTAAATTTATTTCTTATATAATGGATTTTATTAAACTATTTAAATTATATATGTGTCAGTATTAAAATTATTTAATGATCATATAATTGTATTATTATATTAATTAATGTACTGTAATTATTATATAATTAATTGAGGTAATTATAAAATTATATGATTAATATCATTATTATATTTAGTTAACCTATTTTATTTATATATTATATATTAAAATGAAGTCATTATAGTAGCAATTCTTTTTTAAAAATTTAAATTTGTATATTGCTTTTTAAGTTTATAAACCGGAGTGATAGCCACATCAACTATGAAGCAGTTCAGGAAAATCCAGAAATTAACATGAACTGGGATCCGCAGGACCCTGGAGGGCCATGTGATGAGGAGGGAGCTTGTCATGAGCGTGACCGGAGGTTCCATCCCCTCCAGTCGCTTTACCTTTCCAAGGACACGTGCTTTTCCCGTACAGCCATGTTGCTCGTGACCCTGGGAACCAGCTATCCCTGGCAGCAGCACCTATTGAAAATCGTGCTACTTCAGGAACAGTGAAATGCCGATCAATAGGAGACCCCACTGATCCTCCACTGGCTATGGATGTCAGATTCGCCAGCATCCTTGGAGAGGCTGCAACCTGCTTCCCTCGTCTACAGGGTGAGGACATCAGGCCTGCCTGCAGAGCCCTTCCTTGAAAAGGCCACCACTGAGGCGAATTTTGAACAGATCTGCTGAAAGGCAAGTGTGTGGTGTGAGAGTCACCAACTGAATCATGATCACTAGTTAACAGTTTATCAGGTACTAGTCTGTGAAATCTCAGAGCAAAGTCCTAGAGAAGACTGCAAAGGCGAGGGTGTGGGGAGAAAGGGTCAGGGAAGATAGAACTGGAAGGCCTTTTGTGGACGGATGGAGCTGAGGTGTACTGGTCAGATGTGGGAGGCCAAGGGGCAGAAACTGCAGAAAAGGAGAAGAATGAAAAAGGGGGCGATGCAGGAGAAGCCGAGTGGGAAGCGTGCCTGCTGCCCTGCAGCGTGGCTGGATGGGAGCCAGTGTGGGGCTCTCTCTAGGCGTCCTCCGCGACCTCCTTCTACGAAAGAGCTGGCGGGACTGCCCGCCTGTACGTTTAGCTAGTATCCTCTCCCGCTTCTCATCTGGCCATGACCGCACTAAGTGAGACTCAAAATGTGTGACTTATCCACAGAAAAGCCGAGGTGCAAGGTGTCTCACACACAGGGAAGAGAATTCTGATAGCAATGCCAGCGCATTCCAAATAGAGGGGACATGTGATATTTATAATTTGTGGGTGGGAAAACAAGTTCCGAATATGAAAAAAAAGGTGAGTGATAGAAGCTGCAGCAGAACTGAGAATTATAACTCCCCATCCACTCAGCGGCAACGTCTTTAAACAAGTCGATTGTTGCATTGCAAAGGAATGCCGTGGAGAAACACAAATAATGCTTTGTTTTGGTTTTATGGTTTGAAAGGTTATTATTTAAGCCTCAAACATGATCCCCAATTTACAGTGAGAATGATCAATGATCTATGTTTTTATTTCAGACTCACACACCAGGACCTGACCCCCGCTGTCCTGACCCCTCCCAGCACACAAGTTGTGTAGCAAGGCTCCCAGACCTGGAAGTCCCAGTTCCAGTGTCTCCTGGACTGATGAGGCAAGCAGGTAAGTTGCTTGGACTAGTGCCTGCCTGTTAATGAGTGTTCAGTCAGCATTAGTGAATTATCACCGCTATTCTGGTTCCTGAACTCTAGTGATTTGGCCGTGGAGATTCACTCCAGTCAGTGGGCCCAGTGACTCTCTGTTCTGCCTGCTTCTGTTGGAGCACACTTTGATGGAAGCCAGAGGCCTGCAGTGAGTGGGCATTTTTGAAATACTGTGTTGACACTGTCAGGACCTTGGTATTTCGTTGTTACTGTTTGCTTTTGTTTTTAAGTGCATTTTACTGACTCTCTGAAAACAGTGAACCACACAGGAGGAGAAATTCCAAAAACAGATGTTTTGACCACACAAAAATATTTTAAAATGTGAAAATATAAAGTTTAAAAAATTAACTGCTGAAAATAATAGCCAACAAGTCAATCATCTCGATGTGAAAGAACCTTTTAGATCAATGAGAAGTTAAAATAGGCAAAAGAGTGGAAAAAAGTCACAGAAAAGGATATCAATGGGCCAATGAGTCATCTCCACTAGCACCACAGCGATGTGAACTTGGAAAGTTACGCCTTTTCGTCTATTAAATGTTGAAAACATGGCAATGCTCGTGATGTGCACGCATCAAATGTCAACAATCCATAGAAGAGTCAAATATACAGCAAAGAATGTTCATATGCTTGGAGATGTTTGCTTTATTCATTTATTTTTTGGTTTAATTTGTTTCATGTTTTAATTAATGAATTTTTAAAGTTGCATACAAATTAAAAAATAGTCTAATGTCTCCCCTGGTGAAGCCTCCACTCCATTTCTTTTACTTTTCAATGGTATCTATTTGCAACTCCTTCAGCTGTTTTTTTTTTTTTTTTAGTTTATCTTCATATTTCTAAATAATATGTATATACTGTTATCAGATGCACCATCTACAGACTTTATCTATTGACTTTTTATTTATGATAGGTGAAGGTTTTAATTTAAAAAAAACTTTCTTCTTCTTCCTCCATACTCCAAAATATAGTTTTATCATCATTATATGGTTAAATTTATTGTCAGCTTTTTCATTATCATGACCATGAATATACTGTTTAGTGCTGAGCCAAATACAGTACTGTATTTGTGCTTTCTATCTCCTGCAAATTTTAGTGTTTCCTTGGAGTTACTAATTCCTTCTTTTTCACATTTGGTTAGTTTTTTTGTGACTCTCTGGCTAAGCATTCCCTCTACGATTTGCCACATAACCTGTCAGCTTTGTTTCTTCCAGAAGATAACCCTCTTGATCTATCTTTGGCCCCAAACCTTGAGCCATCTACCTCCCACTCCATTCTGGGATGTTTGTCTTCTGGTCTGGCTGGCACAGCAGTTTCCCTGGGACTTGCTTTTGTAGTCATCCAGTAATTCCTCTTCTGAGTTTGTTCCCATGTTATTTTCTTTCTGGGTTTATTTTATTGTTTGAGCACAGAACTTTTTTCCATAGTATAGAAAGTAAATGTTATGAGATTATACAAGTCTGGAAGTGTTTTCATTTCCTCTTTTATTAAAAGATAATTTCACTGGGTGTAGAAATCCAAGTCAAGAAGCGTGATGCCACTTTTTGATTCTTATTATTTGTCATGTTACTGATTTGGCTCAGTCTGTCTCCCCTTCTCAACGCCTTTAGGAATGTTTCTTTATGTTCAGTGTTTGTTCTTTATTCCAACATTGTGCTTAGTACACAAAGGGCCTTTTTCATCTTGATTGTCGTATACTTCAGTCTGAGATTTAAAAAAAAATTCTATGTACTTTAAAAAAAGTCTTCCTCTACTTCTCATTGACCTAAAAGGATCTTTTACACATTAGTTGGATATAAGTCCTTCTGCATTAATTTTCGATTTTTCTTATCCTCTCAGATTGTCCATTTTCTTGAGCTTTTTTCCTACTTCTAAAGAGATTACCTTGATTTATCTTACAACCTTTCCATCTAATTTTTATTTCAGTTACTAAATTTTTTTATTTATAAGAGCTTATATTCACTGATTATTCCCTTTTTAATGTATCATGTCTACATTTTCACCAAAGCAATATTTTTCCTTTTCTCTCTGAGACTACTAATTAAATTTTCTTTATAATTTTCTTCTTACACTGACTTGCCACTATTTCCATTTGGTTCCATTTTGACTTTTACAACTTTTATTCTGTCTTCTTTAGGATAGAGGCTGTCTTCAAATGTGCAGTTCATTCCTTAACACTATAAAATATTGTATTAACATTAGTTTAAATAAAACCAAAGTAGGGCAGTAAACAGTCCTAGCAGGATGGTTAAGAGCACAGCTCCTAGGGCAAGACTGTCTCAATTTAAATTCCACTTACCAGCCATACAATCATAAGCATGTTCCTCAACCTCTCTATGTCTCCGTTTCCTGGCCTTTAGAGCAAGGCTAATGGTAGTGCTTATAGGATTGTTGTGAAATTTAAATCATTGACTCTATCTAATGCTTAGAACAATTTCTCACTCATAGAAAACACTCATGAAATCTTAGCTAATATTATTATTATTATCTATTAAGTTATGTTTGGGTGTCTAGTGCTGATAACCAAGCACTTAGTGGGGGTATTGTTAGGCTAAGAAATTTCAAGAGAATGATGGCCAGAAACTGTTGTATGAAGAATGGAGAAGAGAACCATGAATGTTTAGCCTGAAGAAGGAAAAATGGATTGACAAGGAAATATGATATTAATTTTTGGATAATAAATATATATTTTCCCACATAACTCCTCTCTTGTCTGGTTATAAACCTTGATAGTTTTGTTAAAATATATAAGATGGCACTCCTAGTTATGCTGGAAACAAAAAGGGCCAAGTGAAATAATATCAGGAGAGACAAGAATTTGGAAAGCAAAATGACGTTAGAGCCTGAATGAGATGGTTGGCTCAGTGTCCATCATCCTTACACCACATTCCACAATGACAAGAGAAGGCTTTTGTGGGTTTCCAATTGCAGCTGTGACAAACCACACACTTACTGGTTTGCACAGTATACATCTATTAACTTGCAGTTCCATAGGTCAGAAGTCTGACTGGACTAAAATCAAGGTGCCAACAGGGCTTTGTTTCTTCTGGATTCTCTATGGCAGAATCTATGTTCCTGTATTTTCTGGCTTCTAGAAGCCATGTGTATTCTTGGCTCATGACCCATCTTCTATCTTCAAAGCCAACAGAGCAGCATCTTCAAATCTCTCTTTCTGACTCTGATGTTCCTGTCTCTCTTGTATGGGGGGTGTGCTGGAAATTGGAAGAGAAGACTCTTCTTATCCTCACAGCAGAGCCAACATGATGTTGAGTAGCATCCAGGATGATGTTCTAATTCAAGTCCATGGGTCATTAGAGGATCAAGCCCACAGGGCAGCCAGGAACCAAAGGAAAAGGAAAGAAGGAGAAGAGGAAAAGGTGGCTAAAAAGAAAGGAAGAAGAGAAATGCTTCTCTCCGAGTAGAATCAGCTTTCCTGGCAAGGCTACTGCATATGCTGCAAACAACCCCAAGATGCCCCCTAGAAATAGATGCATGGTAAGAAGAAGGATTCCAGGAATTGCCCACAGTGTCCTCGGGAAAATGGAAGGCAGCTGCTAAAATGTCAGTGTTGGAGTGTCTGAGGCCTGGGGTAGATTCTGGACATATAATTTTAAACATATATAATTATTAAAAGCAGTAAGTGACGATTATGGCTGCATTTTCCTACAGATCACACCAACGAAGAAGACAAAAACCTCACAAACTTCATTTTCAGTGAAATAAAAAAAAAAACTATGATTTGTAATTTCCAATATATGTGAAGAGCCTTTCAAAGGCATCTGAGATTGGGCAGAAGACGAGGAAGAAGACAAGGGATGTCTGCAAAAAAATAGCAGACCAGAGGAGGCAGGTCTCAGAAAATATCAGCAAAAGAATATTTCTTGAAGGAGAAGAACTTGAAGTTAAAAAAAATCTATATGTCTTCTCTGTAACAAAGAGTGTCAGACTTGGTGAGCAAGGCCAATAGCAGAGTGCCCTATTGGACACAGAGAAGTAGAAAAAATGGGTTACACTAAGAAGCAAGAGAGGAGCCATATTTGTGGGAAGCAGTGTGGAGCTGTGGCAGCATAAACAGAGAGAAGCTGCAGGCAATGAATCCTAGAGGCAACCTTATAGGGAGTCATTCTGGCCCTTCCCTCTTACTTTCCACACATAAGAATCTCCCACAAATAACTGCGTAAAAAACCTGATTTTTTTGATGATGAATAATGAAAGTTTTCATAGCACTGATACAAAACTGTTATAAGAAAAAATAATGTGGGAAAATATAATGAAATTTAAAATTAGATAAATGTCACTAACCAAAAAATAAGTGTGTCTAATCAGAAAATGACGATGTTCCAAAAAAGATGAAAATTATGTAGAAATATTTGTCAATGCTTTGAGAGACTTAAAACTGTAATTGTCTCTAGAAATGAAGACTAGAAAGAAGAAATGAAAGAGCTTATGGGCAGAGATACTAGACATAAGGGGAAACCAAAAATGTTAGAAAAAAATCCTTAGAAACAAACATTATATATAACTCCCCCTAAGAGTTATGGGTTTAGAATTCACTAATTCAGTGTTCATGGTGATTTGACAGAACATAACTGCTGCAAATGATGAGAACGCACTGTGTGTGTATACCTATGCATGTGGATACGTGTCTATACAAGTATCTTTGTTCCTGTTTTCCTACAAATCACTACCACAAAACAATAGTAGGCCTTGTTTAAGAAGAGAGTCTCAGTAGTTCTTTCAGAAGGTTATCAAGGGCATTTTGAGCTGACAGTAGGTCTTTCTGGACTATCATACCTACAGTTTCAACTGAGGTTTGTTTGAGGTTAATTTAAATATATTAATCCCAGCCCTCTGTTCAACTACTGCTTGTTTATGAGATTTGTATAAACCCTTGAGAGATTTACTCATTACTTAATTTAGTTTGCAATATGTTAATTTTATTCATGTTATGTTTATTACCACAGTACCTGCATGCCAGGCAGATAAGAATTTCCAAAATACTAGTGGTTAACACTGTAATGCAATGAAGTCATTGCTCCATAGAAGTAAAGAAAAAGGTAGGTGTCAGATGCAAATGAGAAGACAAGAAGACCTTCTTGCAATGAAGGAGCAGTTTCATGGATAATCTGTGTTTTGTGGCTCTCAATACCAATTGTTGTCAAAGTGAGTATTGCTTTAGGAAAACAATACTCATGCTATCTTTGCCAAAGCATCCAAAAGCAGCTGTGAAAATGATCAGACAGCTCAGAGGATCTCTGTTTGCCAGGTAAAATTTCTGGAGGTCTCTCTCCAGCCCCTTTCTTCTAGTTGTGCCAATTCCCACCCTATCCTTAGCTTGGTTGGAATAAAGAATGGATTTCCTCTTTTTATCTACTCTCACCTCCCAGCCCTTATTTTTATCCTTCCTGATACCTTTTTTTTGTATTCATTCACTCATTTAGTAAACATTTACTGAACACTACTAGGTGTGAGGCACTGTCCTGAGGACACAGTAACGAACAAGACAGAAAGTGTTCTATGCACATGGAGTCTCCATTCTAAAGGGAGAAGACATATAATAAACAAGTAAAATGACTAAATAACTACTAAAATATCAAATATAAACATGTTTAATAGAGAGAATTAAAGTTAGGTGTTGTGCAATAGCAAAGACATGAAATCAGCCCAAATGCTTATCAATGATAGACTGGATAGAGAAAATGTGGTACATATACACCATGAAATACAATGTAGCCATAAAAAGGAATGAGATCACATCCTTTACAGGGACATGAATGGAGCTAGACACCATTATCCTTAGCAAACTAATGCAGGAACAGAAAACCAAACACTGCATGTTCTCACTTATAAGTGGGAGCTTAACAATGAGAACACATGGACACAGGGAGGGGAACAACACACACTGGGGCCTGTCAGGGAGTGGGGTAGGGAGAGGGAGAGCATTAGGAAAAATAGTTAATGGATGCTGGTGCTTAGTACCTAGGAGATGGGTTGATAGGTGCGGCAAACCACCATGGCACATGTTTAACTATAAAACAAACCTGCACATCCTGTACATATACCCTGGAACTTAAAACAAAAATACAAATTAAAATTAAGTAAATAAATAAATAAAGTTAGGTGTTGTGATGGAGAATGGCTGAGAAGCTATTAGTACTTTAGATCGGGTGATCAGGAGAGACATCGGAGGAGATAGCATTTACTTTTATGTTGCAATTTTATTTTTATTGAATTCAAATTTCTTCCTAGTTTCCATTTTTATTTCTGCTTTGAACCATGCATTATTTATAAATATGTTATCTAGTTTACACGTAATTTGGGACTTTCCAGAAATATGTCAGTTATTGATTTTTAATTTAATTCCATTTGGTCAGGAACATACTTTGTATGACTTTAATTCTTACAGATTTATTTAGACTTTTTAAATGGTTTCATGGCACAGAATATCTTCCGTTTTGATAAATATTCTGTGTACAACTAAAAAATGTGTATTCTCTTCGTTTGGGGTGGACTGCACTATAAATATTGATTGGGACAAGTTGGTTGATAGTGTTGTTCAAGTTTTTTATATCTTTACTGATTTTCACTCTCTTTGTTCTATTAATTATTGAGAGAGGGATAGTGAAATCAACGGGTATAATTGTGGATTGTGTATTTAGTTTGTGTTTTGCTTCTTTTAATTCATGTATTTTGAAACTTTGCTATTAAATACATCAATATTTGGAAAAGTTTTGTGCTCTGAATAAATTGAGTTTTTTATTATTACAAAATAGCTTTCCTTTACTGGTTAAGATTCTTTGCTCTGATACCTTTTTTTCTGATAATAATGTCTCTTCATTTAATTTTTATTTTTGTTAGCATGCTATATTTTTTCCCACCCTTTTACTTTTAACATGTCTTCTCCTTTATATATTAAGTAATTTTCTTGTAAGCGGCATGTAGTTGGAACTTGCTCTTTTATCCAATCTGACAATCTCTGCCTTTTAAATTGAATATTTTGGCCAATTACATTTAGTTTCATTATTAAAATAATTAGATATCAATCTATCATCTTCGAATATTTTTAAATTTGTTCCATCTGTTCTTTGTTTCCCTTTTATTATTTTTTCTGCCATCTTTTAGTTTGAGTATATTTTATTATTCTATTTTCTCTTCTCTGTTTTCCTTTGTTTATCCTCCTTTATTACCATTTACCTTCAAGTGATGCACAATTTCATCTATATTACACGAAAGAAGATTTCTTTACCATTACAAGTGCTCTTCATTCCTTTGTATACAACTATATTTCCATCTGGTATCATTTTCTTTCTGCCTAAACATCTTCCTTCTTCCATTCACATTTCTTGTACTGTGGATCCCATGGTGAAGATCAACTGTTGGACTGATGTTCTACTGCTCTAGACAGCTTTTGCAAGTCTGAAGAGGTCTTTATTTCACCTGCTTTTTCAAAAGATATTTTCACCCCTGGTTATAGAAATCTGGGTTGACGGTTTTGTTTTGCTTGTTAGTTTTTCAGCACTTTAAGATGCTACATCACTGTCTTCTCACTTACCTCATTTCCGAGAAGAATTTTGCTGTGCTCCTTAAGTTTGTTCCTCTGTAATTAACCTGTCCTTTCCCTCTGGCTGCTTGTAAAAATGTCTATTTAGAACTGGTTTTGAGTAATTTTGTTATGCTGCAACTTGATGTAGTTTTCTTCATGTTTCTTGTGACTGAGTTCTTTGAGCTTCTTGTACCTGTGAATTTATAGTTATTATCAAAATTGGAACATTTTCAATCATTTCAGTTGTTCCACAGTTCACAGTTCCACTTTTTAAAAAATTATTTTTCCTTATGTGTTTTATTAGTAGTTTTTTATTACTATAGCTGCAAATTTATTTATGCTTTTTTTCTCAAAATACCTAAGCTGCCATTAATCTCACCTAGTGTATTTCTGTCTTAGCCATTAGAGTTTTTAATCTCTCAAAATTACGTCTTTTTATATCATTTATGTCTCCATTTAACTTTTTATACATACAGAATATAGTTATAACAGTGTCCTTGATGTTAATTGTAACATATCTGGGTCTTATAGTTCTGGATAAATTTCAATTAATTGATTCTTAAATTCTGATTACAATTTGTATTTTTCTGCTTGTTTCTTTCTTCATCTTTGATTGCATGCCAGTCAGACATTGGAAATTTTATTCTCTTTTGTACTATATTTCTATTCCAAAAAATATTTTTAAGTTTTTGTTCTAGAGTTCAGGTAAGTACATGAAAATGATTTCTTTCTTTCAGGTCTTTGTTTTAATATTTGTTAGATGGGCCAGAGCAGTGTTTATAATAAGACTAATTATTTCCAATTCCTGTGGCAAGACTATTGTGAGTAGCCTCATAATTTATGACATTTTCCAGTCTGACTTTAGGGAAGAGGCACTATACTTATCCATGTGTTAATGGTTGTACTCTTCCTGCTCTATGTATTAGTAACCACAATTACTTTTGCACCAACCTAATATATCATTATATTGTTCACTAACTTCCAGAATAGAATGTAATGATTTGTAGTAAATTTAACAAGTTTTGAAACCATCATCATAAGTTTTTTTATTTGTTTGTTTGTTCTTTGAAACGGGGTCTCACTCTGTGGCCCAGGCTGGAGCACAGTGGCGCGATCTCGGCTCACTGCAAACTCCAGCTCTGAGGCTCAAGTGATTCTCCTGCCTCAGCCTCCTGAGTAGCAGGAATTACAGGCGTGCATCACCACTCCCTTCTAATTTTTGTATTTTTAGTAGAGACGCGGATTTCGCCATTTTGTCCAGGCTGGTCTTGAACTCCTGGCCTCAAGTGATCCACATGCCTCAACCTCCCAAAGTGCTGAGATAGATCACGCCCGGCTGATAAATTAGTTTCAGATCATTTCCACCACTCTAATAGGATTCTTTATGCCCATTCACTGTTAATCCTTGTTTCTTGCCCTAGGCAAATACTAATCTACTTTACTATAGATTACTGCAAAGAACATTCATGTGTGAGTTTGTGTGAATGTGTGTTTTCATGTCTCTGGGGTAAATAACTAAGAGTGGAATTGATGAGTAATATTACAAATTTGTATTTAACTTTTGAAGAAACTGCCAAACTGTTTCCCATTGTGGCTGCAATTCCCAGTAACAATGTGTGTGCGGAGTATTTCTTCACATCCTTGCCAACATGTTTAAGAAATTATAAGTCTTTAAGAAAAATTGTAGCCATTCTTGTGGGTGTGAAATGGTCTCATCTCGTGGTTTTAATTTGTGTTTCCCTAATGCAATGTTGATCATCTTTTCATGTATTTATTAATTATTCAGATTTTTTCTTTGGTGAAATGTCTACAGAAATCTTTTGCCTATTTTTTATTGGAGTGTTTTTCTTCATATTATTGAGATGTAAGAGGTTTTATTTGTGTAGTCTGGATACAAGTATCTTGCAAGATAGGTGTTTTGCAAATATTCTTTTGTAGTCTGTTCCTTGTTCTTCTATTTTCTTAAGTGTTATTTGAAGACCAAAAATTTTGAATTTTCAATGAGATCTAATTTATCCATTCTGCTTATACAAATACACTTTGATGGTTTCTCCCTCGAGCGCAATTAGTTTCCTTACACAAATATACTTTAACAAACACCCAAGGGAGACCCTACACAGATCTCTTGGGTTCTTTCTCTGAACAGCTCTCTTCTCTAGAAATTTATCCTATGAGTCTGGCTGCTGTATTCTCTCCTGAATTTCACTTTGTCTCCCAACTCAGGGTATCATCTGGGCTCCTTCTGGGTTCCTGCTCTCTACACTATGGCCTGGAAACTCTCTTTTGGCAGTCAGCTGGATCTGTCAGAGAGCCCAATTCATTCATTCCTGGTCTCTCAAAAAACTCTTCCTTTGTTGCCTGATGTCTAGTTTTTTAAAAAACTGTTTTAAATATATTTTTCTGTACTTTAACTTACTTTTTCATTGTTTCCGGTGAGAAAATACATCCCGTTCCTGCAACTCTATCTTGGCCAACAGTGGAAGTTATATCACAGAGATGACACTTAGGCTGAGACCTCAATGTCAGAAGGTGTAAGAGCTACAGGAAGCTAAAGTGAACTCTAGGCTCTGAAAGGCAAGAAGGCCCTATTCCTAGCTTAGGAAGTTTTAACTTGTCAGAAGAAAGATCCTTGGTGGGAACAAGTTTGATATGCTTTAGAAACAGACCAAAAGGCTAGAGCGGCTGAATCTCAGTGTTGGGGAGAAGATAAGATAGGAAAAGTGAGTGGAGTAAGGTCACATAGAGGTTTATAACTGAAGCAAGGCACTTGGATCCTAAGTGGAGTGCAATGGGATGCCATTGGAATCTGGCCCCCTACCTAGACGTGATCCTTGACCCTCCCCACCCCTTTGGTTTCAGTGTACCTCTGGGCTCCCTCTTGGCCCTTTGACTTTGGCCTTCTTTCATGATGTTCATCTTTCTTCACCTTCCCTTGGCATATCCTCCCTACGGCCTTGATAATAAAAGGCAATCTCTCATCTCTGTCCTTCTTAGAGAACGCTAAAAAGGTCAGGTCACAGTCAAAACACTTCCTGTTCTTACCCTCCAGGTACACACAAGTATACATGCACCATGATGGTGAGAGTGTGTATTTAGAAAAACAACAGAATGAGGACAAAGATAATTGAGGAAATCCCTTTTTCCACTATCCGTCTCCAAAGAAGCATTTCCATGGAGAAGAGTAGTGTAAAAGACTACCATACCCAGTGGTCCCAACCTGGAACTTTCTGCACCCTCTCATAGGATTTCTTGCAGCTCCACTAGACTAACTGGAACATTGGGAAATGTGGATAGAACTAAAATAACTTACAACTATAGGAATTATTATTATTGTTGCTCTAACACATTCTCTTTGTTACCTCTCCTAGGGAGAAAATTGTTAGATGCTTAGTATCTGGAGCAGAAAGGAATTTACCCTGACAAGGTATTTTTTGTGAATTTGTTTTCTTTGGTGTGCAATGACTAGGACTACTTCTTAATGGTCTCCTGATGTTTGACAAAATCTCCAAGCTGTAATTGTACCACTGCTGGTTGGAAAATTTTATCCCTGTCAATTTTGTTCCTTTGGTTATATTTTACTAATAAAAATGGCAATACGCAAAACACATTTTGTTGCCTTTTTTTCATCCCAAGCTTGCATCTCATTATAGTTTAGGACTGTTTCTGCCAAAGATTTGCAACTTGCTGACTGTCCCCTCATGCTTAGAGTCTTAAGATTTGAAGGATACGTAATAATGAGGGTTTTGCTAATTAATAAATTTGTGGGTTTATTGTAAATGAAAGACAGTGAAGACTGCGTTTTCCACACAATGCATTTTACCAGTGTCCAGTTGCCCATCAACTTAGATATCACGGTACACGTATATGCACCAAACACTCAAACATTCTAAAATACTGTCTCCTATTAGTGGAAGCTTTCTGATAATGATCATCCATTTCTAGGCCCACCTCTTACCGTAAATTGCATCCATCCTGCCTCTTAGCAGGTTGGATACATAACCCACAGTCCCACAAAAGACACAAAAAGACGTGTGATTTAAGGGGCATGCTTGTCTCCATGAAGCAGCAATATACACGGTAGGTGGAAGGAAGGGAAGAAGGGAGGAAGGAAAGGAAAAAGTAAGATTAACAGCGATAAGTCATTTAAACACTATGTAATCTAGTGACTTCCAAATAATAAGAGAGAAGCCATAATTCTTTGTTGCTCTGGTCCCCAGAATGCCCTCTTCAGCACCTAGTGGAAAACAGCCTTCTCCAGATCCAATTTACTTGGGCCTTATCGCCTTCTATCCTTGAGAATAACTAAGTTTATAAAGATCCCCTCGCCTCCTGGGCTTCTTAATCGTGATAACTCGTATCATCACCCCTCCCTACTTTTCCCGACTTCCACAAAAGCCCATTTCTCTTATGCCCCCAAGGAAAGAATAATTTTTACAAGGCAATGTGTTGTAATCCAGTCAATTTTCCTTCAGTAAACTGAGGCCACAGCTCAGTACAGCCTCTGGAGGGTACCTCTGAAGGATTTACTCCTGTGGAACACAGGTTTCATGTACACCTGTTACTTGGAGTGCAGAACCCACAGCTGCCTGTGTTTACAGCTCTGTTCAGGAGTCATTACTGATAAACTATGTAGTACACATGCAATCATTCTATTTTCCTTCTTCATCTCTACGCATCTTCTTTATTGACTCATTTGGGTTTGAAAAAATTTACTGAATTAACAATCAAAATATCAAAAGGTCAAAATGATTGATGGGATCGTGGTTCATTTCAACTGTACCACATATTGGTTGATACTCAAGGTGAGTAGAAACGACTCTCAAAGTGTTTCAAAGTTTGCTCGGATACTTCTAAATATTAAAAAAAATCTTGCTTCTCATTCTTGGGAACCATATGAACACCATATAATCTTACTGTTTATACTATAATTTTATCATTCTCATAAAGCTAACCTAAAGACAGACCAGTAGACTACTCTTAGCCCTGTGAAACCCATGCTCCTGAACTTTAAACCTGATCTCCTAGGTGACAATTTTGTGATAATAAAAATAATTTAGAATCTCAGAATTGGAAGGATCTTTACAGTTCTGTCTAAACGTATTACCTGTATTTGCCTGAACATCTCTGCTGTCAGATAACTCATTATTTCCCTATTCTATCTCTGTATTTATTTCTTTATTAGAAAGTTTTCCCCACACTGAACTGATGTATACCATTTTATATTCTTCTCATCCTATGCCTGGATTTCAACAATCCCTGTAATGTTGTCCAAGCATGTTTCCAGTCCTTGTCTAAATCTACTTTCTTTCCCTCCTCCAGTCAGGCTTCCTCCAGCTGTGCCCTGGGATTCTTCACCTCAGCTTTGGCTCCAAAGTTTCTGCTGCCTATGGCTGCCTGGATAATGTCCATTGCTCCCCCAAAGACCGGATATGTTATTACATCTGGCGAAAAGGACTTTGAGGATACCAGGAAGTTAAGGACCTGGAGATGGGGAAGATTATTCTGGACTATCCAAGTTGACATCATCTGATTGATAATGTAATTGATGATGTAAGTAGAAGGCAGGACTGAATTCCAGAGGTGAGGCTTGGCGAGTGGACCAAATTGAGGACTAGCTAAAACAGGGAGGAGGCAGAAGCAGCCTTCCAGAAGACACGCCCACCAGTGTGCCATGGCAGTTTACCATCGCCATGGCAACACGGAGGCGTTACTGCCCCTTTCCATGGCAATGACTCAATGGCCCAGAAGTTACTATGTTTTCCCTCAAAATTTCTGCATAAACCGCCTCTAAATCTGTATGCAATTAAAAATAAGTATAAATATGCCTGCAGAACTGCCCTGAGCTGCTACTCTCCGCCTCTGGTTCAACCCTGCTCTGCGGGAGCAGTCATGGAGATGTCACACTGCGGCTTCAAGACAGCTGTTTTCTTCTACCACCAGCTCACCCTTCAATTCTTTCCTGGGTGAAGCCAAGAATCGCCAGGGGCTAAGCTTCACTTCATGATGCCCTTTATGAGTCCCACTGATGATGCCCTGCATCGTAATCATAAGGGTCCTTATAAGAGGAAGGCAGGATGGTAAAAGTCAGATAATGAACTGAGGGGATGTGACCATGGAGGAAGGAGAAGGGGATATGAAGACAGACAGCAGGAAAGAGGCATTGGACGATGCCAAGCTGAGGCCTAGCAGATGCAGGAGCCACAAGCCAAGGAGAGCAGGCAGCCCTAGAAGCTCAAAAAGGCAAAGGAAGGGGGTTCCCCACAGAGCCTGCAGGAGGAACACAGCCCTGCTGATGGCTGGAGTAGGGCTTCTGACCTCCAGAACCATCAGATAATGCATTTGTGTTTTTAAAAGCCGTAAGTGTGTGGTAATTTGTTACAGCAACAACAGGAAAAAAAAAATCATGCCTAAGAGGCTTTCTTCCCTTCATTGAGCCTAGTGGGACCCTACAACCCTCCCAGACCTGGTTTTATTTGTGACGTTGGTCTGAACTGACTGCTCTCCTCTTAAACATAAGGAGCAAGTGTTATCTCTGATCCGTTTAGTTAAAACATAACTTACACTCTATTGCCCCTTCTCTTCAGCTGTACTTGAATACTCCTGTAAGTACCTGGATTATTTAACTTTTTCATACATTTACATAGTCTTTACTACCTCATTGTAGCCTCTTTGAGTGAAGAAACTGAATGAGTGTTTATCTTCCAGGTTCCCCTGGCACTGAATATGAGTATGGATGGTTTATCAATTCCTCTTCTTTCTCCCCAGTCGAATTCTCCATCATTACATGAAGAGTGTGCTTTTATATGACAGGAGCAATAACTTTACAGCTGAGATTTTCTCCCCAAGATATCTCAGCCAATGTGCTCAATGATACTTATTTTTTTTGCAATAGCCTTAACTTCTCTGTGTGCTCCGGGTAATCATTATCCTCGGGATCTGAAGAAGGGCTACTGTACTCCGAGCACTCACTCCATCTGCATTTATTTTCTCTCTTTCAGTGACTCTGATATCAATTAATTTCTTTTTCCAAGAAATTTCTTGGCTTCTTATTTTTAAAATAAGAATCTATGACATATGTAAGCTAAAAATATCTGACTTCTTTCTTAACTAGAGCTGTGTCAAACCCACAATTTCAGAAAACGGAAAACATAATCAAATTTCACAATACCTTAGGACAGAAAGCACATTACAGAGAAAGCATATTTACATCTTGTTTTGCATTTTTCTCTGTGGCCGGTGAGTGCACTGAGGGTGAGTAGGGGCCATTTTCCTGAGGCAGGTGTTGTACAAAGAGGGTTCTGCAGAAGGAACACAAAACCAGAACCATGGTTAGTTTAAAATAATTCAATTAAGTGGGAGTCACCCTATAAATAAGCATATTGAAAAGTCCAATGGAACACTGGAGTAATGATTAATAGAGTGTTTCCATATCAAAATTAACCCAGTTTTTAAACATCTGCATTATTGCAGTACAGACATGTCCGTCGTTCATGTTCATCTTTGTGCTACAAACACATATTAAATATATATTCCATTATACAAACTTTTGCATATGCATAATCTTCATAGTAACGTAATTTATATAGGGGAGAACATAAAACCTATGCCCTCTTTATAGTCTGCTGATTTAAAAAATATATGTTGCAATCTCTGCCTTGAATGTATTCATTTACTGAGATATAAATTTTCTTTGCTGTTATGGGTTTCACAGGCCCTAGAATCCACATAGGATTTTCTGGAGACAAAGTATAGTAACATTACCTTCTAAGAGTTTTTATTTTTTTAGTGCTTTTTTTTTTTTTTTTTTTGGAAACAAATGTAGCTTGTGCTTCTGTCTTTGACGGGGCGACACTGTTATCCTGGAGCAACTCTGACATCTCTTTTCTGCCTTCCACCCTGGCCAGCACAATCGTCTCCGAGGCTCCTCCCGGCCTTCAATAAGGACAGGATGTGGTTCCGGAGCAGCTGCAAAAGGCTTCACAAATGCTGGTTGACGAGAAGTGACAGCCCTGTATATCTCTCACTGGCATTGACAGCTGACAGATGGATACCACTCACACACAGAAAAAAAGCCCCCAGGACGCTTCGCCAGCATTACTCTCCGTTCATGGGGCCACAGTTGATGGAGTGCTGCTCGGAATAATAAACCCTTGCCGATTCGCGGCAGAGCAGTTTTCTCTCACACAATGCCCTGGGTTTTTTTTTTTTTTCTTTTCTCCTCTAAAACATGAACAAACATATACACTGAAGCTCTGTTTTGTGGGTTATTTTCTTTCTATTTTTGTTTTGAAAAGGAAAAATAATCAAAATAAAAGAAGAGAGGGGGAAAGAGGAAGAACAGGAGCCCCCAGCATTCGCATGGAGAGGAGAGCGGGAGCGAAGTGCAGGGACCTGCACACAGCCCTGCCCGGGTTTGCTTCCTAATAACTCCCTCGGCTCCCCAATCTGTTTGTTATTATCCTTTGGATTGCTTTTATTTCTTTCTATAAATCTGCCCATCTTTAGAAGCATGGCTGCCTGGTTAGTTGGAAGACAGTAACATAAAACTGGACAGGAGGCGTGTTGATGCGGACTGGAGGGAGGTGGAGCGAATGAGAGGGAAAGGGGATGATCAACAAAAAGAAACTCCATCCCTAAGGATAGATGGTGAAGACAGGAGGGAAGAAAGGAGGAGCCAGAAAAGCTAAGGTATCATCTGGAGCTGCAGGAGTCGGGGGGAAACCCCCTGCTTTTGTTCCACAGTTTTGAAGTGGGTGATCCCTCCAGCTTTTGCTATGGTTCTTTTATTGCTTAAACTGCTCCATTCCATGCACCCCAGGAGTCTGGCTGTGCTGCAGGAGCCATTTTCCCCTGGGAGAAAGCAGTCCCTTCCGACCGCCTGAACAGGGTGGGAATAGAAGATGCATTCTCCACGAGGGCTGAACCTGAAAACTGACATCCCCGAGATAAGAAAAAGGGAGAGCCGAAGCATTTATAACCATAGATGTGCTCTTGGCATGTACTGGTGAATAGGGCTGATTTGCATTTAGATTCTTGGGTGAGTTAAATTGCAGCATCTCAGGGCATTCTAGCCATTCGGCCCTATGTTCAGCAGCATTATCAATAACCCGTGACGCCTGGCGAGGTCGAAACACTATCAGCTTCCCAGAATCCCGTCTCACCTGGGGGAGAAGCTCAAGGGTCCCTGTCTTAGAGCACATGGTTCCTGCCTTTCCTTCAGCTGCCGTTTCAGTACTGCATATTTTTTGGCAACCTGGAGGTTCTGAGAGGGAGTTGGTAGGGGTGCTGAAGTTTCAGGAGGCTTCCATAGTTGTCACGGAAACCTCAGGTTAGGCTTCTACCGGCTCTCTAGGCTCTCTATCTCATTCTGGGGACAGAGGACGCGGCACTTACATCTGCACGTAGATTCACTTCTGTGCCCTTGCTGGATAGGAGGGAAGAGGGGCTAGCACAAGGTGCCCGTGGGTCCATGCCCGGCAGTCCACACCTGGACCATCCACTTACAGTGGGTGCACTGAGCAGATGGCGGCGGCTTCCCAGGCCAGGGAGCTTAAGCAATCCCCATGCAGGGGAAGATGACGCTGCTCCTCCAACAGAGCCCCGACGAAAAGGTCCTCTCCTGAGATAATCTCCCTCTAAACCAGATGGGGCCCCAGCCCCCCTGAAAGAGTAGGTGTGTAGAAGCTGCCTTGCAGGAGGAGTGGCACAAACAGAGGAAAGTGATACCAACCGAGATGCTTAATGAATGCCTTCCTGTTCCTAGGAAAAGGAAAGCCCATTGGCCATCAGCAGCAGTCAGGGTGGTCAAATTTGCAAAGATGAATGAATGTACAGTATTTTCAACCTTGAAAATCGGTTCAATATGTTCTATTTGGGTCTAACCGAAATACTCTGGAGTAATAAGTCCAATTTTGCAAACTGTGCAGGGGTAATGCTGTGTATTTTTATAATGCCATGCTCTAGTTTCCTTTTTCCATTATGGGGTCTGGTGTCCTTCCACAAACTGATTTAGCATACAACTTAAATATCTATGCCTATTATCAGTTAAGTTCTTCCAGTATGGCCTCTTGATTAAGGATCTGTAAACGTTTTACAAAATCTCAGCTAATGAAGTATTGCATCAACCACAAGTCGAATAGCATTTATTACTTATGCTCTGTATTGTGATCTACAAAGCAGCAAATATGACGTTAACTTATTCAAATCACCTAATTTTTCTCTTGCAACTTCATAAAAAATTCCTGGAATGGAAATTTCCCAAGTGGATCTTGGCAAGAGGAAGTTTCCAGCAGGAGTAAGCAAGTAAAAGAAAAAGAAAAAGAAAAAAAGAAAAAGAAAAAGAAAAAGAAAATGAAAGCTCACTCGCACATTATGATTTCTCCCCCTTTTAATTAAATAAAAGCAACAGGGTGCGCAAAACTAGATTTTTGCCATATTAATCAAGCTGAGGAGAGAATGATGTAAAGTCACAAAAATCTAAAAATATGAAGCGTGTATCATTTAGAAATTAGGACAGTTTCCCCTATATATAATATATTTCCTGTATGTAACAACTTTCTGAATCAATACATGGAACCTACTCAACATGTAGGATGTGGAGGCTTGCCTGGATGATGGGGTGAGCCCCATCTGAGCGTGCCTGAGCCGGGTGCACTCTGCCAGCACCGTCTGCCCAGCCAGTGTCAGTGCTTGTCCATGCTTTATCTAAGCACAATGCCAGCAGAAGAGCCAACATCCAAAAGAAGAGACGCGGTGCCTGCAGAGCCTCCCTTCGTCAGGGCCCAGGGCTGCTCCGGGATTTGAGCTGCCGTCGGCCCTCTGAGGCGGTCGCTACTGCCAGCCCCAGTTTGCACATGGGGAAGCTGAGGCACAGAGAAATCGCTTGCCCAGGGGCACACAGGAGCTTTTGGAGTCAAATGTGTTCCTAAACAGCCTGCTCTTCCTCACTATCCCGGACTGCTGCCATTAGGCAATGTTCTTGAAGCAAAATTGATTTTTATTGTTATTTATTTATTTTTTTAATTTTTGTTTAATTTTATTTTTTAAGAGACAGGGTCTCACTCTGTTGCCCAGGCTGGAGTGCAGTGGTTTGATCACAGCTCACTGCAGTCTTAAACTCCTGGGCTCGAATGATCCTCCTACCTCAGCCTCCCTAGTAGCTGGAACTACAGGCATGAGCCACCACACCTGGCTAGTTTTTGTATTTTTTTTTTGTAGAGATGGAGTCTCACCATATTGCCCAGGATGATCTCCAATTCCTGGCCTCAAGCAATTCTCCTGCCTCGGCCTCCCAAAGCACTGGGATTACAGGCATCGGCCATTGCACCTTGTCACAAAACCGATTTTTAAACACGTTAGTTTTATTCTTAATTTTCTAAGTCCTTTCTAACTCCAATAAGTGTAAGGCTAAATGAAAGTCTGCCGAAGGGCTAGATCTCAGTGAGAGCCTCACGAAAAGACAAGGAGGCAAGAGTGAAGGAGAAGGAGCTGGGGCTGCCAGGCAGGCAGAGGGGACGGAGGCCAACACACGGAATCCACGTATTCTCGCCCCCAACTGGAGAAAGGGCCAAGAAGCAAAGGGGCAGGATGAAGCTGGAACAGAAAACATGAGCCCCCTTACTGGACTCCAGCTGGAGCACGAATCAAGGCCGTTTCTGTGGGAGATGACGGGGCATCTGAGGGAAGCCCAACCTTATCCCAAAATGCCCCCGTTTCGTCTTCTAGGGAGCCCAATGTCCTGGGCTCTACCTGCTCACTGGGGCTGGGTGTAGTGGCTCACGCCTGTAATCCCAGCACTTTGGGAAGCTGAGGCAGGAGGATCCCTTGAGCCCAGGAGTTTGAGACCAGTCTGGGCAACATAGCGAGGCCCCGCCTCTACAAAAAAAATTTAAAAACTAGCCGGGATGGTGGCACTTTCCTGTAGTTCCAGCTACTTGAGAGGTTGAGGCAGGAGGATTACTTGAGCCCAGGAGTTCAAGGCTGCAGTGAGCCATGATCATGCCACTGCACTCCAGAGACTGGGGGATGGAGTGAGAGCTTTTCTAAAAAGAAGACAGAGAAAGAGACAGAGAGAGAGAGAGAGAGAGAGAGAGAGAGAGAGAGGGAGAAACCTGTGGGTGTGGGAAGAGCTAGAGAGCCAGGTTTAGTTGGAATCGATCTTGGGATAAGCAGAGTAAACTTGTAGCCCAGACCCTGGTACAGCAGTGTCTCTGGCCTGATTGTTTATGAGCCCTTCTTTGGGAACAGGGACACAGGGCTGGCCAGTGCAGGGCGTGGTCCTGGGGAAGAAAAGGCAGGAGCCCTAGTCCTCACTCCTCCCAACACGCCGTCCCTCCCACCTTTCTAAACTCAACTGCTTTTGTTTTTAAAAATCTAACAGTGAATGGGCTGGACCAGTTCTACCAGGAGTGAGAATGAGGAAAATATCCTCCCAGGAGCCAACTAAGCCTAGGAGGAGAATTAATTTCTCTGGGGACACTTAATTAAATGAATCATTATATACCTTGCAAGGAGCACCTAGAGGCCTTATTGTGTCTGTGTACCTGGCTCTTGATGCCTGGGGAGAGCAAAGCTCCACCTGCAGGGAGGGGAGAGAGGGAGGGAATCGAGGTGGCTTGTGTCCATCTTTATCAAACTTTTCTCCCAATTCAGTTTTGATCCAGTAATAGTCAAAGTAAAGAGTCACAGACATTTAATCTGGTTACATGCCAGTTTTGGAGCTGAAAATAAGAAGTTCAGAGATTAAGAGATTAGTGTTCAGCTAATTGGGGACTTTTTCCCCCTAGATATAAGCACTTTGCTTCTCTCCTAACCATGGCTCAAATGGAGTATTATGGCACTTTTCCCAGGGGCCTGAGATAACTTGCATCCACTTCACTTCCTTTGGTTGCCTCTTCCAGGGGGCCTTGCAGTCAGTCAACCTCTGTGTGGAGGGGACACCTTCCCTTATACAGTCTTCCACAGTGTATGCAGTATGATGGTGTCCCACCTGCTCCTGCCCTTAGCTCCTGTGATCACCTTGGGTGCAGCGTGCCTGAGGCGTGTTAGGTCCTGAAACTGATGGGATGTGATCTACCTACGGCCACACTCCTGGGAAGTGTGGCCACCTTCCCCTCATCCCGGGAGTGGGAGAGCTTGGTGCTCCCTGCAGTCTAATCCTGCACCCTGTGTGAGCTGTGATCAACACCACAGTCTTCCAAATCCACCTGCTTGTTAGTGAGTACTCCTGGGTTCTTTCCTTGCTGCTACAGTTTGAGGCTTTTGATTTTAATAAATTAAGAACAAAGGCATGATATAATGAAGGTACAATATAGAATATATGGATACGCACATAGGCATACATATAAACTCCCCCCTGTGTGTTGTGTTACATCTCAAACCCCCAAGAAATAGAAAATTGAAACAAGGCTGGTGCTTTTCCTAAGTGTGCATTCTATTTGTTGTGAATTCTTCTATGTAAAGCAGATTCCAACAGCAAAAAGGATTTGGAAGGTAAAAGGGGCAGGGCTGTTTGAATTCTGCTAACATCTTCCTTATGTGTTATTGTGGACATTACTCCATCAAAAATTAGTAAACAGCCTCAGATATCTCTGTCGTTCTAACTACCCCACCATTTCTTCAAGAGTTTCCACTGACGGGTTGGGTAGCATAAAAATTTTACCAAAAGGATGTCAAGAAGGTTTCAAGGAATATTTTGTGTTCAGTGTTCCCTTTGAATAAAACTTAGTATCATTCATTACAGAAGAGAGATCATCTTGTAATTCTTACACATTCATGTTTGCAGTGAGGATTAAGTGAACCAAAATTAGGTTACCTGTCGGAAAATTCTTTGGAAGTGGTAAAACACTATGCAAATGGCACTACACATGATACTCAAGAAAATTTCTAAAAACAAGGATGGTTTTGAAAGAAAGAAACCAATACCCATCTTCTAGCACCCAATAGGTCAAAAGATTGTACATAATCATGGATTAATTGTAAACATAAAGAAAGAGACTTAAAAATATATGTCAAAGCTACTGCTTCGGGGCAAACTCCAGCACCATGAAAGCTGAAATGTTTTCTTTTATCAGAGATCCTTTTCTGGCACCTGAAATTGTTTCTTTCAAGTCTGATAGTGAAGAAGGAAGCGGCGCACTCCCTGGAGATGAGCGATTGTTACCATGGTCTCATAACATATTGGCAGCCGGTGTGGCATCCACTACACCTGTCACTCAAGCGGCACTACCTGCAGATGTGGTGGCAGGCTGGGGGTCCCTCCTGCCCCTGCCCCCACCTGGCACTGGACACCCAGTGATGCGTCCTGGCTGCCCCTCCCCCAGCACAGGGAGGGCTCCGGAGGCCACAGCATGGGAGACCTTGGGTATCGGTACTGGGACCCAGGACCAGCAGACCCACAGAGCACCAAACAGAAGCTGTGGGCTGCGGAGAGACAGAGCTGCTGTGCTGGCTTTCCAAGGCAGATGAGTGCCAGAGCAAACGCTATTCCACCAGGCACAGGATTGAGTGGTGGATTTCTAAGTTTGGGGAACACGTCCCTAGACCTCAGCATGTAATATCATCAAAGTTATCAAAGAGATCAAGGAAAACCTGAAAGCCTTCTGGTTAGTAGGGAAAGAAGTTAGGTGGTGGATACAAAAGCATCAAACAGGGCTGGGTGTTTAGTCCTTTTCCACATCTGGCTCCCAGAGGTGGGAGGTGGTTGGACCAGGCAGGCAGGACTGTCCCGAGGTGGGAGGCGGATGGAGTGGGCAGGCAGGACTGTCCCCGAAGTAGGAGGTGGCTGGAGTGGGCAGGCAGGACTGTCCCCGAAGTAGGAGGTGACTGGAGTGGGCAGGCAGGGCTGCTCCCCAGGAGACACTGCCCTGGTGGCTCTGACCCCCTGCAGCCTCCTATGCTCTAGAGACTCCAGTGTCTGAGATTACAGTCGTTCTTCTCTTAGTATTTTTATTAAGATATCCACAATATTCGAATTTTTCAACCTTAAGAAAATCAGTCCACATTGATTAATTTCACCAAATTCATAACCAACCTGCTATTTAAAATGTAGGTTTGGGTCCTATTTAAAAGGCCAAAATCACTTTGCATTTCTTCCTTCTCCCATTCCTTTTTTCCCTCCATAGTCCCCAGGGATCTAAGGTTAGGGTTATCTGTTTGCCTGGTGAAAAAACCCAGAAGGATGGAAGTAAAATGCTTCTATTTACGTTTCGTGACTAAAATCGAGAGCTCTGTGATCTATCTTCCTGGAGACTTAAATTTAAGCGTCATTTTTTATATTTTTTTGTCATGAGCCAAACTCAAAATATACTTTTAACATATAGTCATTTAAGATTAACAAAGAATAATTTTCAGGATACAGTAAACATGAAAATGTGGGGGGTGGGGTGCAGGGGATGAGTGTGTGTGTTCAACTGATGTGTTGGCAAAAAGAGAGCCTGTGCAGATTTAAACAGATGAAAAAGAAGAGAGGAGAGAGGGAAAAGGGAGGCAGAGAATGAGGGAGGAGAGAAATCACCCTTTGCTAAGTGGCTGGCAGGATCAGTTCCCTGTCTTTTTTCTTCCCAAAGATCCTAGAAAGTCAGATGTCAGTATCCCCAATTTGCAGATGAGGAAACTAGCCATTTGTCCAGGCCACTCAACTAGTAAGTCATAGAGCTGGATTGTAAAACCAAGTCTTCTAACCCAAACCTGCAACCCATTTTCACTGTAGCCCATTAATGCAGGTCTTGCCTATTAGGGGAAAATAAGCTTTGAAAGCATCAAATATTTGCTGTTTGTTGTTGGTCTTGGGAAATTCTGACAACTAACAAATACATGTTCACATTTTTTTTCCATCATCTCTATGCAAAGTGTCTTTCGTGAACCCCAGTGAAGACGGCCTGTTTTGCAAATCTGTGAATCCCAAACTATCAACTCTGGACTGCTATCTTTATCATAACATTTTATTCTTTCAGGCTGATTAGGTTGGGCAGATATTATTAACCCTTCCTTCCCTACTTAGTGAACATTGCACAGCGGAGAAGTGCAGACCCAGGTCCAAGCCTATGTCTCCCCCTGTGCTTTCTCACTTTTGCACCATAGCTATGGCCACATGTGGGGGATGAGGAGGAAACTGAGAAGGTAAGTTGTCACACCTGCAAGAGACAGGGTTACCCAGATTCAGTCCTGTAGTGTAACTTCATGTTTGTTCTTTCTACACATCAGACACTGGGCTTTTCCCCTGTGAACCTGTGGTGAATGTAGATTTGAATTCACTCCAGGTAGGTGTAGGCATTCACCCTGTGATCTAAGGGGTTACTCATGGTTTTCCACCAGGCAGATTAAAAAAAAACACCGAGACAGGAGTAGCCAGTGCCCTCGGCAATTCTGTCCTGTTGTCAGACATCACAGTGATTTTGTGCGTTCTCGGTGGAAGCCTGCAGCCTGGGGAGTGGGTTTGCATGTATAACGATGGAGCTGTGCTTGCAGATACAGATGCTGAGAAGGTTGAAGGGAAGGAGATTTCCAGGCACTGTAAGATGCAAATTGAGGCCACGATAGAATTCAGGGCCACAGTGATGGAAGAGCATGAAAAATATGAAGAAGCAAATCATCGAGTTTAATTCTTCAGCTGGTCTCAGAATAGCATGTTTTAAAAAGTGGGAAGTATTAGAATGAGTGCAAATATCTTCATCTTAAGTCTGTAAATGCATCACTTTATTGACCCATTTGTCCACTTTTATAAGCTGATTTATGGTCACTGTAATGTGATGCATCATGTCATCTTGTAAATAAATGCGACACTTCATTAAGCAAGGTAATCAAATTTAAGCAGTTCACTTTTGTGTTAATAACTGAGACCTTCCTGTTTCTATTGCTCTAGAGATCCACCTACTATTATGAATGCAGATTCTAAGAATAAAGCACCCGGGTATTTCCTAAGGGGTGGGAGAGAGTACTTTTGGAAGCAACCAATAATGACATTAATAACAACAAGCAATTTGCTGTAATGAAACATTTTCATATCTGGACTTTTTTCGGGAGAGGAGGGGGCATCAGTTATGTCCATTAGAATGGGAATGTTGGAACATCTTGGAGTATCTGTTATTAGGCTAACAGAATACTTTCAAAGACTGAATTTCGGGAGGAAATTTTTTATGCTATTTTTGTATTTGCCATCTGGAATGACACTGCAAGCTGGCAAATACAAAAACAATGTGAGATATTTCCATCACATAGCATTTGTTATGGATTCATCATGGAATGTGAGTCTCTGAACATCACTCCAATAACTGTAATTATCCCAACTTGACCTTCTTGACCGGTTCAAACAACTTCAGTGCTGTTAATGTTTGTGTTCCTGTGGAGGAAGGAGATGCCTGTTCCCAATTCCAAGGAAGCTAGCTGAGATCCTGACTCAAAGCTTCAAGCACATGCTTCCCCCATGGACACAGCTAGCTATCATGCCTATTTATGGGCAGCTTATTTCCAATTGACAAATGTCTAGTAGAGTATCAGAAACAAATAACCAAAATATATGGAATGGATCATGCCATAAGTTGTCCAATATAGAGGGGCAACCTCTCTGTTCTGCTGACAATACTACACATTTTCAACACATGAAAGTGTTAGCTTTCTGGCGAATTTACATTGTCAGTGATTGTGAATTAGGAATGCATTTCTGGGAAATGAAAAAGATCTAACTATAATGTCTCCTTAAACTGCCTTCTCAAAAGTTTTAACAAAAGTAGAAAAATTTGAAACTTCTCAGGGTTGATTTTCAAGACAACAGTAATTCAGAAACTTTAGGATTAAACATCTGAAAAGAAAAAAAGGAGTTGGAACATTCGATGTGCTCTTTTCTAACACGATGACATTGTGAAATTTCCATAAACTATTACAAATAGTTTTAAGTGGAATTACTTTTAAAATATAGCCCAAGCATGCCTGTCTTCTTAGAAAGAGTGCAGAACATCGTCCAGTGGCATGGTTGTGCGCAAAACACAGGGAGGACCCAGAGGCTGTGGAAGCGCATGTAGCTATTTGCCCCAGCACCAAATGACACCAGGCAGTGAACAATTCTTATTGATTGGATTTGGTTTGTAAGAGATTTTCCCTATGACTTCTTCGTAAGGTCAAGGTACTTGCCCACATTCTCTCTGTCCTTAGCATTTTCTTTTCCAAATATGTTGTGGTCTGGAAACAAGATAATCAACACTTTGGAAAGCAGACTCTGTAATTTATTCCTCTTTGTGTCCCTGGCAATTAGCCTAGTGTCTGGGCTATACATGAAAACCAAACTTTTCCCTAACTGATAACTGAAAATTAGGAAGTTTAATTGGAACTTAAGATTCACATCACCTCATCTGACCAGATGTTCCTAAAATAAACCTGGCGTTGGCTGTGTAACCTGGTCCATTCTCCCGGGACACTCGTCTAATGACCCCCACACTGAGTGAGCATACCTGGCCTGTTCCATCAGGGTGCTAGGGTACCTCTAAACCTGGCTGAGCACACCTGGTCCATTCTGCCCTAACATTTTAAAAGGCCGAAGAAGCAAACACACAAGTAAAAACAAAACTTGAATATAATGATCTCAAAAATAACAGAACATCCATGTGACAATGAAAGGTGTAAGCAGGAAGGAGCTATATCTAGTTTTACAAGAGCTTAAAAACATACAACAGATGATCCAATGCAGAACAACACCGTGCCACACTCTACAACACAGAGCAGTTTGAGAGCCTGTTATTGGACGGTATGTTTGTATTCGCTGTGCTACTCTCAGAAGCATGCTGGCCAAGCCCACATGAGGGCCCTGCTGGGTAACTCTTCCATCTTGGTCCTGTAACATCCATTTCTCCACCAGAAACAATTTAAGTCCCAAGTTCATGCACACTAGGAGGGTTGTTTTCTAATGTTAACATCCTGCCTTTCTGGAAGTTTTGTACTTAAAGTGATTAAAATATAGTCACTTAAAATAGAGATCTTAGCTATGGAAAATTCATCCATTCATTAAGCAGATGTTAATCATCTACTGTAACCCAGGCACTGTTTTTTCTAAGTGCTTTGGGGTTTACTAGGGGAAAAAAAACCTAAAAATTGCTCTCTTCCTGAAGCTTACATTCTGTGGGGTGGTAGAGACTGTAAATAATACACTAAATAATAAATAAAGTATAAATAAACATCATATTATGTATTACAAGGTGTGTCTGTGCTTTGGAAAAGAGCAGTTTAAGGGGAGGATCATGATTCTAGGGAGGAAAGAGCAAGTTATAGGTATAAACAGGCTGACAGGACTTGAAAGAGGCTGGACTCCAGACACTCGGATTTCTGGGGAAGGGGGTTCCAATCACAGCAAACGTCATCAAATGCAAAGGCCCTGAAGAACTTGGCAGACAAATTCCAGAAATAGCAAGGAAGCCAGAGGTAGATGAATGCAGAGGGAGAGAGGCCAGAGAGGAAAGGGATGAAGACTGATTGTGCAGGGCTGTAGGGCCTTCATACAGATTTGGCTCATGCTTTTTAAGAAGACCTGGCTTCCGTGTAGAGTATTAACAGATTGAAGGGGAAGAGAGATGAGATAGGTGGTGAAGGTGAGAAGCTGTTAGCTACTGGTCGTGTGTTAAACAGAGAGCGAGCTTTGCTAATGTGCTGGCTGTGGAGTGTGAGGGAAGTAGAGTCAAGAGCAGCCCCAGGGTGTAGGGAGAGGAGGTGGAGTTGAGTGTTTTCAGTGGAGATTTGGACACGTCACATTTGAGACATCTTTTAGACTGGCAAGTGGAGATTTGAGTTGTTCAATGGAGGTCTGAAGTTCAGGAGAGAGGTCCAGGCAGGAGACATAAACTTAGAAATGTAGGTGAAAAGATCGTGTTCAAAGCCAGAAAATGACTGTGATCACCAAAGGTGTGAGTCTGGATAGAAGACTGAGGACTGAGCCTTGGAGACTTCAAAGCAAGAGAGTGGGCCGGGTGCAGTGGCTCACGCCTGTAATCCCAGCACTTTGGGAGGCCAAGGTAGGCAGATCGTGAGGTCAGGAGATCAAGATCATCCTGGCCAACATGGTGAAGCCGGGTCTCTACCAAAAATACAAAAAAAAAAAAAAAAAAACAATAGCCGAGTATGGTGGTGGGCGCCTATAGTCCCAGCTACTTGGGAGGCTGAGGCAGGAAGAATTGCTTGAACCCAGGAGGTGGAGGCTGCAGTGAGCTGAGATCACAGCACTGCACTCCAGCCTGGGCGACAGAGTGAGACTCCACCTCTAAATAAATAAATAAATAAATAAATAAATAAATAAAATAAAATAAAAATAAAAATAAATAAAAGCAAGAGGGTGGAAAATGAGACAAATTCAGCAATGGAGCCAGCAAGGGAAACATGTTGACTCGTTTTCTGAGTCTCATTTTTATTTTGCAAATCTCCGCAACACTTAATAGTAGAGGGTGTTACTTTCCTACATGATTATTTCTCAGGACTTTTGCAGTCGGTTACCTGAGATGCCAACTAAGTTTTTTATTTTCTCTTTGGATTTAAAAGTGATTCACTGGGGTAGGGAGATTATCTGAGGAAATGGCTGGGGGTACTTCTCAAACATCTTTTCCTCTTAAAAATACTTTTGACTATAAATATCCCTGGCTTTAAAGGTTAGGAAAAGGTAGGAATAAAAACGGTTAATGACAGGCAGGGCATGGTGGCTCATGCCTACAATCCCAGCACTCTGGGAGGCTGAGGTGGGCAGATTGCTGGAGCTGAGGAGTTCGAAACCAGCTTGGGCAACATAGTGAAAACCCATCTCTACAAAAAAATACAAAAATTAGCCGGGCATGGTGGTGTGTGCCTGTAGTTGCAGCTACTCGGGAGGCTGAGATGGGAGGATCGCTTGGCCCCAGGAGGTCGAGGCTGCTGTGAGTGGTGATCATACACACTGACTGCACTCCATCCTGGGTGACAGAGCAAGACCTACCTCAAAAAAAAAAAAAAAAAAAAAGTTAATGATAAAATGTCACCAAGCTATGAGTCAACAGTTACATAAGGAAGCTGTGTTTCTCCTCACATTGACCCCAAATGTCTGGGTTCTCCAGGACCTTTGGAGCTGTTCACCCAGAAGCACTTTTACGAGCTTCTAGGTTCCAATGTATACCCCAAGTGAAAACTGAAAGCCGTGCGTTACGCCGCTGTGTCTAGGTATTTGGCATCCCAAACCCATCTAGAAAAATACATTAGGTAAATGAGTGGGTGCCACTCGATAATGTAACCTGGACCAAAGGTAGAAGGGTAATGCAGGTAGTTCTATAGGGAGTTGAAAGTCTGACAATGAACTTTACATTTAATGGAATCATACCCACTGGCAACAAGGTGACTGAGAGCTGTCTATTTGGGATGACAAGAAACACTAGCATTTATCCACCAGACTCGGTAGTTACCAGGAAAAGATAAACTTTTTCTCTGAACAACCTCATCTGGAAACATGGGCTGAGTGCCTACTGTGTGTGGCCCTGAGGCCTGGCACTGGGAAATAGATCAATTCTGACTCCTGTGAAATACTTGAGAAGCACTGAGGCAGCAATTTCCTAGAAAGAGAATAAAATAACAAGAAAAAGACAGAGAGAGAAGGGATACCTGAGTAACCACACTTTTATAGATCTTTAAGGAAACCACACTTCATATATCTATAAGCAACCACATATTTATAGATCTGTTTTTCTTTTCTTTTTAATGAAAGTAGAATAGATTTGAAGCACATGTGGAGAACAAATACAAAGAAAAAACCCTAATTTAAAAAATGACCCAAGATGTGGATGGCTTGGGTGAGTAGATCTTGGTTCACTACTCTGGTGAACCAAGAGTGGTTAGAGATTCAGGATGGGATGGATGAGGACGAGGTCTATGTGGGACACGGGAGGAAGGTGGGACCATCCTGGGGAGTCACCAGTCCCACGGTTGCGGATGGATGGTTGGAGCTAAGACTTCTGCCTGACTTCAGCCCGACTTCAGCCCTTCTTCCTACCTGTGAGGATAGAGATTGGCCCTCATCAGTAAATTAGCTTATTAAGATTTTATTTTTTTCTTTTAAATTAACATTTTAATTTAAACTACAGAATGTTACTTTAGAAAATTAAGCAAACACATATTTTTTAAAAATAACTCCTAGATCCACTAACATGAGAGAAATATTTTTACTATTTTGGGATTTTCCCTTTTTGTCTTTTTCTAGTAGCATGTGCATATAGACATATATTAACATATATTTCATGTTTATATACAACTTTATATTTGAATAATATTATCTGGGCCTTTATTTTCTATGACCTTATAGACAGAAGCATTTTGCATTTCATTAAACCAGAGTTATTAAACCTTTTCAAATTCATTCCCCTTTTTGAAAAGCATGAAAATTATACACTCCCCGAGAATGTCCTTCCCAGTTAAGAAGACAGAAGATAGACTCTGTTGTCTATGTAGCTCTGTCAGCTTTACCATTTTCATTTTATGTGAGAAAAACAAGAGGTGTTTGGTTTCATTCACAAACATATTGAAAAGTTGTTTTCAAATTTCACATGCGTACCCCCCACCCACCCTATGTTAATATGTATCCTAAAGAGAGCTACACTACCATGATTGGAAATTAAGGAAATAAACACTATAGAAATCATATTTTTTAAAAACAATCATATTTTCAGTAGTTGCAATATTAGCATATCTCATCACATGTTTAAGTAGCCCCTTACAGTTGAACCTGCAGTCTTGTTAAGGAAGATTCTTACAACAATTCCTAAGTGGACAGAGTTTCAATCTTACCGTAGGAGAATTTTTGCTTTCTCCCCAGAACAGGTGAGACTAATGATTTGTAGTATGAAGCAAGAAACATCACTGTTTCTGTTTTCTTTTGTCAAAGTTAGACTGTAGCTTTTCTGAGCTACAATGAATATCCTTGTCATACACCCTCCTGGAGCCTCTTTGGTTAGGAACCCTGTCTGCTTATGCTTTTAGACATACCTTAGTAGACAGATTCAGTGGATATCAGTCCTTTATGTCCAAAGTAGAATAAGAAGGAAATTGTAATTCAGTTTAACCAAGAATCTGCACATTTCTCCCTGGGTAAAATAATAAAATGGATCAGAGCCCATGATTCTAAGTACACACGTGCACATGCACTCACACAGATGGGTACTGAGTAACTCTTCCTTTCTCACTAATTTGAGAGGCCATTTTTGTCACTAACAGAATGTTTCCAGCCATTGCTGCATGCAAGATTGCTTGCATAGTTTGTTACCTGCCCTCTGAGCCATGCAGGCCGAGTTTATGCCAATGCCTAAGCCGGAGCAGACAGACAAAGGTGGCGCACAAGGGCCCCCAGACACCTGAAAGATGTTTGCCATAAACTCCTCCCGATTGTAGTATTCTATAGAAAGTGGCGAAAATTTGCCCAATTAAAATGTTCGATTTGGGGAAGTATAAATGCTATGCTTAAAATAGAGGGGTGTTTAGTTCCCTGGGCAACCGGCTTCACATCCTATGCAATCTCTGAATGTCTAGGGCCAGAGGCCACCACAGCTGCCGTTACTCCTATGTCCCTGTGCTTCCTGCACAACCAGCACGGGAGGAAACTTTGTTTTAACTTTTCCACATAGTGTCAGGGATTTGCAAACTAACTACCACAGTTTCTGGCATATGGTAAGAGAGCTAATAACAATATTAGTATGAGTCTATGGAATTTTTAATTGGCCTAATTGCTGATAAAGTTTCTTTTTTTATTTATTTTAATTTAATTTATTTTATTTTATTTTATTTATTTATTTATTTTGAGACGGAGTCTCACTCTGTCGCCCAGGCTGGAGTGCAGTGGCGCAACCTCGGCTCACTGCAAGCTCCGCCTCCTGGGTTCACGCCATTCTCCTGCCTCAGCCTCCCAAATAGCTGGCACTACAGGCGCCCGCCACCACGCCCAGCTAATTTTTTGTATAGTTAGTAGAGTCGGGGTTTCACCGTGTTAACCAGGATGGTCTCCATCTCCTGACCTCGTGATCCGCCCGCCTCGGCCTCCCAAAGTGCTGGGATTACAGGCGTGAGCTACTGCGCCCGGCCGATAAAGTTTCTTATATTCTTTAAATAAACCTTACTTGGTTAAGAATGATTGATATTAAAATATATTGCTGAATTTTATTTTAAAAAGCTTAATATAGAATTTATGAGTCTATATTTATAGGTGAGATGATTATGTCTCTTTAATTTTTGCATTTTTCAATGAATTTAGATATAAATTATATGCCAGATTTACAAAAGAAATTGAGTACATGTTCTATTTACTTATCTAAGCTATAAAAATATGTACACATAAAGTTATTTATTGATGGATGGCTTAAACGTCCTCATTGATTAAAAAAAAACCTTTTGGCTTACAGTATCATTTCACTTTAGGTTTTTAGTTCACATTGTAGAAAATCAACATGTGCATTTTTAACGTTGTCACTTTACTGAGATATTCTAACTTTTTTGAGTCAATTGTGTTACTTTTTAAGATATTTCATGGTTTAAAATGTCTTTATTCTTATTTCTCCCTTGCTTAGTAGTTTAATTAGTATAGAATCCAGGGTTGAAAGTAATTTTCCCAGAAAATTAGAAGATATTTGCCCATTATTTTTAGCAGCCCTCGTTGCTATTGAAATTTCTTGTGCTCTTCTCATTCTTGGCTCTCTCTATGAATCACACTTTTTTTCCCTTTTGCAGTTGTAAATGTTGCCTTTGTCCCCGCTTTTCTGAATTTTATGACAACCTTGTCTTGCCGTATGGCAATCTTCATCCATTGTGCTAGCCGCTCGGTGGGCCTACTCACTCCGGAAGCTCATGACCTTTAATTCAGAGAGTGCTTCTTGAATTATTTATCGGTTTATTTTCTCTGAAGTCTTTCAATTACTTCCGTGGAAGCTCATTCTAAAAGTGCAGAAGATTCTTGAGGATGTTGGCGCTCCTGGAATTGTCCTCCAATCATCCTATCTCCTCTCCGTTTTCCACGTGTTGGGGTATCTGTGTGTGCTTTGGCTCTGCTCTTTGGGGATCTCATAGATGTTGTATTTCAGTTCACTCACTAATGTTTTAACGGCGTCTTCCGTCTTTTAAAGTTTGCACTTTCCTGACTTCAAAACGCTGTCCTGTTTTTTGGACTCTGCTCTTGTTTCGTGAATAGAATAGCTACTTTTCTCTCTCTGATAATATCAGTAATTTTTTAAAAAATTTCTCCAATCTCGATTTATTTGTCCTCCAAGATTCTTTTAATCTTTTGCTTATTTTTGCTCTTTGTCTTTCATTTGGAACTTAAAAAAAATTCTCTTAATCCTCGGCTCACATTTAAGAGAAGAACCTTATGAGCCTTGCAAAAGGGACTAGAGGCCACGTCCCTGGACGAGACCAGGACACACGTGGAGCCTCTCGGACCTACAGGACCTGCCTTACTTCAGTCCAGGAATGTTTTCTCAGCTGTATCTCTGACAGGCTTCCTCTTCTATTTCTTTTTTTTTTAACTATTTTTTTTAGGCTATGCTGTTGCATTACAAACTTTCCATCTTTTATTTATTTACTTATTTATTTATTCATTTTCGAGACAGAGTCTTACTGTGTCACCCAGGCTGGACTGCAGTGGCATGATCTCGGCTCCCTCCAACATCCGCCTCCGGGGTTCAAGTGATTCTCCTGCCTCAGCCTCCCGAGTAGCTGGGATTACAGGCGCCCGCCACCACACCCAACTAATTTTTTGTGTTTTTAGTAGAGACAGGGTTTCGCCATGTTGCCCAGTCTGGTCTCAAACTCCTGAGCTCGAGTGATTCACCTGCCTCAGTCTCCCAATGTGCTGGGATTACAGGCACGAGCCACTGCACCCAGTCTCTTCTTTTTTTCTTTTCCGTTGCTTTCCCCTCCTGAATATATTCTCAAATTTATTCTTCATACTACTAATAATACACAAATTTATTTTTCATACTACTAGTAATGTACAATATAACAATATAATATATAATAAAATGATAATAAATTCTTCATACAAATAATTTTCTGGCTAGGGTTAATTCTGACATATACCACCCACTGTATAAATTTCATCTATCATCATGCTTTTGAACTGAACAGATGCTGAAGAGTGTTCTAAATAATTCTTTGTCCTAATAGAAATGTATTTTAATACCTGTACTTTAGGTATTCCTTTCCTCTTCTCCTGCAGATACATTCTTAATTTATCACAAGACCTGGGAATGCCTTATACAGACCTGGGGCCCACACTTGACCATGTGAGGGTGGATGCAGGCAGTCAGCCTGCTGATGAGCCCGCCTGAGATTCCTGTGAACTGTATCTGCCTATCCACTGTGTTCTTTAACCCAGTTTCATAGGCAGGGATCCAGTAGAAAATTTCCCAAGATTCTGTCTATAAATTGTCTGGCAGTCCTTGTTCTTGTGGTCATTTTGAGGGTCTGTAAATGTTATTTATTTCTCCATAGGCGTTTAGTGGGAATATAAAGGGGCAGCTATGTCAGCAAATTTTAACAGACGCCATTTTAAATGAAACGGTAAATAGGTGTTTCCCTACCTCCATGCAAATCCGCTTTTCAAATTTCCAAAAATCCACTGCTTTGTGAAACAGGCCATGCTGTGCAGTATTTCTCCATTTCTTAAGAAAGCAACCTGTAAGTTTTAGTTTTCCATGGATCGAGTAAGTCTACGTACAACTTCTGCACTTGGCTTTGCGTTCGTTAAACCAAGGACTGGCTCTGTTCCATGTCTCCCTGATGATGAGAAATGTGATTCCAGGCTGAATGGATGTACATGCTGCGATCAAGCACTGCTGCTTGGTGGCATTAATATTGCTATTATTTATTATTTACATATTTAATGACCTTATTGTTATTATGCACTGTTAGCGCTACTAATTATAACACAATAAACATAATTTATAAACACAGTTTATGGTGATATACATAATCAACCACTAGTGACAGTACCTGGAACAGCTGCAGATATTTCTCGTCATCACTGACTATTCTATGGGAGAGAGCTATCTGCTCACAGAAAGATTTTAAAATAAATATTTTAACAAATTAGAAATGGATTGTGGCTAACTCGAGTGATAGTTTCTCCAAAATAAATCCAAATAATCATTTTATGGGATTGGTGTGCCTCCACATCCTTGAAACTTCACAAAGATCCTCCTATAAATAACATCATGGTAAGATTTATGGTGCGGAGTGTCAATTTAAGAACTGTGAGGATCCCAGGATAACATTATGGCCAAAAGATAGAAGTGGCCAAGGGGTAGCGAGGGCGGGGAGGGCCCTTCTTGTCCTTGGTCTCTGTGAAGAAGGTGCTAAGTCATGAGAACACTCTTCTTGGATCCAGAGATACAGTAAGTGTGGGGTGAATACAGATCAGAAAATAGATATAACCAAACAGGTCATATTTCAGGTCATTGTATCCAAAGGAGCCAAAAAATATTGGAGAAAATAAGCTTTGACCCATCTCTTTACTCCTGAATAGCAGTCGCCAGGTATTTTGTGATGCCACAGGACTTGGCAATAGTGGATAATAATTTCCTGAATTTCTTCTTCATGGAGGCTCATTGTAATTTGAAATATATCTGTAGCTCATGTCAATAATGTGTTATTGTATACATTTTTTTAATCTGGGGACAGATTTTAAATGAACCCAATAAAATTTATTTCTAAGTGCTAATTGAATCATTTTAATATAAATAAAATTATTTTATGTTCAATATTTGTTATCTAGAACCATGTCTAATGTTCAAATCAATCACTTCTTCATCTAGTTGGAACTTACTTAAAGGTAATCCCTTACTTTCTCCCACTCATGGTATCTGAGCATTGAGAAGCCAGCCCACAGCATCTATCCTCACTTCAATTGCTTCGTTCAGTTATTTCCAGTGGAGCTTCACTCCAGCCTTTAACTAACCGTGTGCACATATTAGAAGTGTTTAACGTGTCTTCATGAGTCTCAATTAGCCTTCTTGTCAGGGTGCTTCTTTTTTGTTTTTTTACTGCATCTTTTCTCAAAGCACACGTGCGTTCTGCACTATCTCTTCACTCTTACTCCTTTAGGGCCTGGATGATAGCAACATTTTTAAAGTTTGATTTTATTTGTTTTTGTTAACAAGGCTTGTGTTTCAATTCCAGAAAAAAATTTGTTAGGTGGAAGAGTGTGAAATATTCCTAAGTAGCTAAACACCACTGAAGGCTGCTGTCTTAGCTATTAAATTTTATTCCAAATACTATTTGAACCCTTCCTAGATATACTCATTACACTAGCTTGAATTCTGTCCCCAAATCCCTAATATTTTCCAATACAAACAGGCTAAATGGGATTCCCTTGATACAAATGCTGTCACCTAACCGCCTCCCCAATACAGCTTTGGGGATACTTATTGCAATCAGTACATATATTTGATGTTTAACTTTCTTCTTCACATTTATTCCTTTCTTATACCCACAGATAAACTTATATTTAACAGAGAAATCTTAAAATGGAGCAAACAGGATAATTTACCTACCACACTTCACCCAAGCTCCTAATCTGTGAGGGGCAGAAAGAGGTATGTTGCTTTAATTACTTTACTATAGATTATTCATGAACTAGTGTAGCAATTCTGAACAGATCTTTTAAAAGGCACCTTCTGGCTAGAACTTATTAAAGGCAACGTGCCATTCTACAACTACCTGGGCAAATCAGAATACTAATATCCTTTGTATTAGCGAGCATTATTCTTCATTTCTATGGAAAAGTTGCTTAGGGAAGAGGAATAAAAAGATTCCCAAGTATTAAGTTGAACTGCACAAAACTGCTAATATTGGATGATACTTTTACATACATAAAGCAACTTCATATGACTTAGTCTAATATCAGAGCATTAATGGTGCTTTCTAGACGCAATAAAATTTGTCCCACACACCTAAGCAGATAGCAAGGTGGTAGGCAGCCAGTTAAGTACCTTAAATAGCAGACCCTTTTTTGCAATTGTAGCTTTGTGATTCTCCGGAAGAGGCAATTTGGTTCTCTGAAATACTGATCCTCCCACCCCTTCCCCCAGAGGAAGGGAGCGAGGTCTCCAGCAGCATGAGCCAGGTAAGAGCTGAATAAAACAGAAATGGAAGATTCTAATGCTTCTGCTATGCAGCCATGACTCTCTGGTACCATTTTTAAGCAGTGCCCCCAAAGACTTTTGGAAGTTACAACATGCATCAGGATGTACTTTACTCATCTTTACTTTAGGTCACTTCCCTTAGCCGAAAGCTGAAATATTAGATAGCTGCTACAGGCTAAGGAAATGGGACTAAGCAGATGTACGCAAGATAGATTACTTTTTATGTACCCCAGAGAATTGCATTGACAATGTATTAAAACTAAATTATCTTTAAAATGAGTATGATTAATAACAACCCAACCCACAGAGTGAGCCAGGATTTCTATGGTATAAAGAAGTTACAAAGGGTTTGTTTGCCTTGTGGTTTGGTCTCCAGATACCCTCATGGTAAAATTATCAACATGTGATAGCAGGACTCTTTAGAGTTAGGAATAATCAATAGGTGAATATGGCTTTTCACAGGACTAGTTCAAGGTCTTTCAACCCATATTATAAGGTGATGGACCAGCTTATGTTGCAATTAATCACGTGATATTTCTTGTCCTTTGTTCTTGGGAAGAGTGGTACCAGATCATGACATGTTTCCTGGATCTAGAAATAGAGGTTTCAAATGGACACACATGATACAGATCTGCCAATGTGGAAAGTTTAATATTTATTATCAGCCCCACCACTCATAATCTTCCTTTCTTTTACTACACCAATAGCTTCTCAAAACGTGAAATTCCAACGAAGTAGTGATTCTGTTGTTTTATACATCTTTTTGCCAAACATCAAGAATGATTACAAAGCAACGAATGATACATTGTATTTCTTTAAATAGCTAAAATGTACAGTAAAATGCATCTTCATCAATGGAAAGTGAAGATGTTATGTTTTATTTACATAATGGCAAATATTTAAATAACAGAAAGTTGCAAAGTTTTTGGCATCATATAGACATAGACATTATCTGGATCACATTTCTAACTGTGAAAAGAAAATTGCTATACTAAACACAGTATCTTCATGATTATTTATTATTAAGATTTTTAAGTAGGTACACTCTTTTCTAGGATGTGTCACATATAAATTAGTAATTTATAATCAGCTGAATTTTCCATGTTAAAGAAATACTGACCAAAAAAAGTTTTTGATTATGTTGTTAATTATGATGATAACTTCAGTGATAATACTTTGTATTTGTATAACACTTTATGTATATATTTTACTAATTTGCTAATTTAAAAGTTTATAATTTTAAAGCATTTTTGTACTTATTTTTTTTCTTGTAATTGACACACTGTAGATAGGACAAGAATTATTTCTATATTACAGCTAGTGAACTTAAGACCTCAAATTGAGTATTTGAGAGAACTCGTATTTAAGCACAGATTCTCCAATTTCAAGAGAAATACATGTTTTTGTAACTCCTGGAAGGAAATGGAGAATAGTTCTGTATATATCTGGAGGCAAAATCATAACTTGGGCTACTTGGATGATGGCATTTTAAAGGGGTTAGTAGATATACATCTTCCATTTTGCACTGGTCTAGTTGATAGAGGCAGGTGGCCTATCACCAGGCACAGTTTGTCATTTCAGGTTGCTAGCTAGCCCCCTTTTGCCTCCCAGACATTTCATATTCTATGTGGCCAAAAGTGGAAGAAACATTTTTATTTTAGGCAATGCATATCATTCATTATTTGGAGCCCACATAAATAGACTTTTGATTAGTGACTAGTATGAGAAGCAAGAAAGATAAATTGCAATGTAATAAGCAAGTATTTGCTAAGCCAATGAGTGAATTTTCATGAAAATAAGTGAAAATAGGCCAGGTGCGGTGGCTCATGCCTGTAATCTCTGCACTTTGGGAGGCCGAGGTGGGTGGATCAAGAGGTCAGGAGATCGAGACCATCTTGGCTAACACACTGAAACCCCATCTCTACTAAAAATACAAAAAATTAGCTGGGCGCGGTGGCGGGCACCTGTAGTCCCAGCTACTTGGGAGGCAGAGGCAGGAGAATGGCATGAACCTGGGAGGCGGAGCTTGCAGTGAGCCGAGATTGCACCACTGCACTCCAGCCTGGGCAACAGAGCAAGACTCCGTCTCAGAAAAAAAAAGAAAATAAGTGAAAATACAAACTTTAAATGTCACATTGAAAAGGAAGAATAAAAACCTATTGAAATCTAGAATCAACTTATTTATCAGTCTATATCCCTTCTGAAAAAGTAGATACACAATAAAATGTGCCCTATATTACTTTCTTGATGAAGAAATTGCCTGTATGTCTTCTGTGAGATGATGTAAACAAAGATGAAAAAGACCCGAATAGACATGTCTCCAAAGAAGATACAAAAATGGCCAATAAGTATATGAAAAGGTGCTGAACATCATTCATCATCAGGGAAATGCAAATCTAAACACTGTGAGATACCACCTCATACCCATCAGGATGGCTATTCTCAAAAAGTCAAAAGATAACACATGTTGGCAGGGGTGTGGAGAAAAGAAAACTCTTGTATCTTTTTCTTGGGAATGTAGATTGGTACAGCCATTATGGAAAACAGTGTAAAAGTTCCTAAATAAATTAAAAAGAGAATTGCCATATGACCCAGCAATCCTTCTTCTGGGTATATGCCCCAAAAAAATGAAATCACCACTTTTAAGTATATATATTTTAAAGATAGTTCCCATATTTATGACAGCATTATTCACAGTAGCCAAGATATAGAAATGACCAAACTGTCCAATGATGGATGAATGGTTAAACAAACTGTGATACAATGGAATAATATTCAGCCCTAAAAAAGGAATGAGTTCTTGCCATTTGCCACAATAAGCCTGGAGGACATTATGCTAAATGAAATGAGTCAAACACAGAAAGAAAAATGTTGTAAGATCTCCACTTACATATGGAATCTAAAAAATTCAAACATACAGAGACAGAGAACAAAAGAGTGGTTACCAGAGGTGGCAGTGGGATGGGGAGATGGAATGGGGAGATGTAGGTCAGAGGTGGCAAAATAGCAGATGTGTAGGATGAGCCAGTCTAGAGATGTAATGTACAGCAGGAGGACTGCAGATAAAACAGTGGTGCTGTGTATGGGCTTCATGCTAAATCAGTAAGTGGTAGCTGCCCTCACTACAAAAACACTGAAACAATGAGTAATTGTGAAATAGTGAATATGTTCATTTGTTTCACTACAGTAACCCTTTTACTATTTATAGGTATTCCATATCGTCATGTTTTATTTATTTGTTTATTTATTACTTATTTATTTATTTTGAGACAGGTTCTCCCTCTGCCACCCAGGCTGGAGTGCAGTGGCAGGATCTTGGCTCACTGCAGCCTCAACCTCCCAGACTCAAGTGATCCTCCTACCTCAGCCTTCCAAGTAGCTGAGACTACAGGTATGCACCACCACTCCCGACTAATTTTTCTTCTTTTTTCTTATTTTGGTAGACAGGGTTTTGCCAAGTTTCCCAGGCTAGTCTGAAATTCAGACTCCTGGGCTCAAGCCATTCTCCACCTCAGCCTCCCAAATTGCTGGGATTTGGGAAGTGTCAGCTGCTGCACCCAGCTAACATCATGTTTTATTACCTTACATCTACTGTACAAGATAAAATTTGTTTTAGAAAAATATAAGTAAATAAATAAGGAGATGCACCTGTGTCCTCTGTGACATATGAACAAAGTTGCATAGAAGAATGAGCTCAGGTGATATAAACAGGAAAATACACACCTGCCCACCAGCCCCCTGAATTAACCTGGGTTTAATAAAGTCAGTTATAGTAACAGAATTGTTTAAGTGATGGTAAGAATCTGTGCTACAACTTAATAGCCACTCCATGATAATATCTCTTGGGACTGTGAGCCGAGCTCAAACCCTGCCAAGCAGCATAGTCAGAGCTGCATGGGTCCCAGGCAGAGCTCCTTTTCCACAGTCAACCTGCATTCGTTCTTCTGGTTTCCTTCTTCATGGCATTCTTACTTCAATCATGGAATTAACAGTGTGTAGTGACAATTAAGCTTGCTCATTAGAATTGCCTTCCCCATGGAACCAAAATCATCAATGCTGATACTATTCAGTGAACACTTTATTCACTACACCCAATGTCTATTTGCTGCTGGCCAAATATTTTGTTAGTTTGTGTCTTCCATGAGCCAGGGAGCTCGGCAAACGCAAGGGTCCAGTCTTCTTTGGCCAGGTGTCCACCATGTGCTGGCCTGAAGCCTGCATTCAATAACTAAATTTTTAATAATATGAATTAACAAATGAATGAAAATGACTTGAACAGGTGAGGATATATACTTGAATAAAAATTTTGAATTAAGAGAAGAAAATTTAACAGAATGAAATGTCTATGGCTACTAATTTGAGGGTAGTGATTTGCAAAGAGAAGTGATCAAAGTCATAGCACAACCAAATGAATGGAGTGGAAGAAGTATCAGCTGGAAGTGCTCTGCAGAAATTGGCCTGGATCATCAAAACTGGTTTGTATTGTGCTTGGAAGACAAATACTACTATTTCTCATCAGTGTGAGACAGGCTGCCCTGTCAAGCTTGTGCTTATTTCCTTACTGACTGGAGCAGCTTGAAGAAGTTACAAGAGGAACCACAAAACCCAAAAACTCTATATCCACCATATTCAGCAAAATAGTTCATTCCTAATACAACACTCAGTATCTTGCTGAAAGCTGTAACCTGCAAAACAATTTTTTTCCCCTAGTTAATGGTCAATGATCAAATATTTGCACCAATATTTGATTGAACAAATTCGCTGAAGCTCATTGAAGTGGAATATGGTTTGCATGTGAACAATTGAAAAGAAAAAGAGGTCATTAGTTTTGAGCAGCAAGTCAAAGAACAGGAAGAGCAAGAGGAGTAAACTCAAGCATAAAAGGAAATAAGTTAAATTTTTAAAAACTTGCATGGAAAGAGAAAAGTAAGGAGGAAGTATACAAAATCATCCAGAGTCGGAGTTAGAGATATATTACTCTCATTTAGACCAAGCTGCACCCGATGCGGAGATCTCCACAGTTTCTGCAGAAATAGTCCCCATCCTTCCCTCTGCACACTTGCAGTAACAGGCAGCTTGTAGCTGTCAAGGTAGCCTCTCCATGAGACAGCTCTAACTCACCTCAAGAACATCCTTATAATGAGCAGAAAGCTGCCGCACCAAAACTTGCTCTCGGCTCATCAGTTTGAAGCAACACAAATTAAATATCTTAACTTTTCCTATGAACAGGACACCAACTATTTGGAAAGATGTGTCATGCGCCACCACTGAGCAGAGGGCGCTAAGCAAATTTTCCCATCTGTTCCTTCCATCAGTCCCCTAAGAAGTGGTTTCCTTCTCCTCACCCTCGCAGAAGTAGTGACTCATCATGCAGACAAGGACGCCTTCCACAGGGACCCAGGCTACGCTGCACCCTCCAGATGTGGGCTGCACTGTATGAGTGCACTGGACAAACAGTGGCTGTGCTTGCAGTCTTCACTATAATTCTATTAATGTGGCTTCAATCTGCACTCACTTGAGTGAATATATTATGAACTAAGACAAGTGAATTGCCACTAAATTAAGGCAAATTTTTGGAGGGTTTTCCTTTATAGCTCAAGGACATAATGGTGAAGCTCATTCCCGCCTCTTCAGAGAGAGCAAATAATAAGCACTTCCCACCTCGTGGCTTTGGAAATCCAGTTCCATCCTCCTTCCCCCTCAAAGCCCCCTACACCTTGAAAACTTCCTCCTATCTCTTCAAGGAATCCCCCTGATATCATTACTGCTTAATAATCATCAAAAAACAGGTTAAACCTCTGTGAAGTTATAGAACTTTTTATACTCAGTCTACTTCTCACCACATGATGCCCTGAGTTCCTCTCTGTCCTGAGAAGCTCACCTACCCTGAGGTCCAGCTATGCCATCTACGACTCCCTGTCACCCAACTCTCCAAGCAGACCCTGAGGCCAGCCTTCTTGCAAACTCTCACAAGCCCGTTCCTTCTGATGACCTTAGGTAGTACACGCCCAATCTGCAAATCAATCTCATCTAACACAAAGTAGTCGTTAGGTTGTGTTACTGAATGCTTGGGAGAGGAGACCTCTTTTGTGATGTCATCTTAATGAATCAATCAGTTTATTCAAGCAGGCATCAGTTCATTGATTAAACACTCACTAGATGCCAAGCCTCACGTATGTTCCTGATAACATGAAGGTGTGAGTCAAAGAGCCCTGACTTTAAGGCCCGCTTAACTCCACTCTCAAGAAATGCTCCCTCAGAGATTAGCTTCCTTCAAGGTAAAGATTTACAGAGAGTTTTTCATTAAAATTAAATTTCAAAGATAAAAATTATTGAAAAGTGCCTGTTTAAAGTTGGAGTTTGAATCAAATGATTTCTCTGAAGTGAAATCGTTCCAGTATCCTAATTTTTCCCGGCATAATTTTAAAGATTAACGCTCTTTCCCCTCCCCACCCCCAAGGAGAACTGATCATTTATGAAGATTTATATCCGTCATATTCAGGAGTAGCTCTGAGTAGGGGTGGGCATTTTTTACATAAGTGTAATTATATGTAAGTGCTATAATTTAATTACCATGATTCCATTCCTATTGATTTCAGATACCCATCTAGAGCCTACAGATATGGTTGTGTGAAGCTGACAGATAGGATCATCTATTGGAATGCTTATGGACCCTATAAGAAGACAGAAAAGATCACTTGTTAAATAATACCAAGAATTTTGTTCCAGGAGATATTAAGGTAGCTGTATTAAGTTAAGTACCTGATTTTTAGGTGAAGAGGGCAGAATGGGGCCTGGCCACAGAATGTTACCTAGGCAACGTCTAAGGGAAATGATGGCAAAGGAGCAAAGTTCAGATGTACAAGTTAAATATGAGGATGCAAATTGGTATATACAACCTAAAACTAGCTAAAATGTGCCAGCAACCACCATTCAAGTAGATGGGATTGTGGTGGATAAGAAATTAAAGATTCTGAACCATCAGTGTGAACATTTCAGTTCTACCCCTGGCTCCTAAAAGCTGTGCTCAGAATATGAATAGATAAAATCCCTAGAATTCTCACAGTATCATAGTTTGGAGAAGGTGTCTCTGGATAAAAAGAGAAAGAGAACACCCTACAGGAGAAAAGTCTGGACCTGCAACTGTGGGCACAACCAGGAAGGCAATAACAACTGCCCATCTTCCAATGCAAGGGGCTTGAAGTTCACTTCTTGGGGCTGAGAAGATGCTCCAGGTTGGGCGAGAGAGGCTTCTTTACAAGCTATTACATGGGATTCATTGTTGAGTTGACTTTTTCTGCCTCTAGGTATAGGGCTTATATTCCACAGGTGCCAGGATTCTGTCTGATATCTGCACCACTATATTCCCAAGACCAAAATAAAATACAATAAATCATATATTAATGGCAAAAATTAATTAGTTATTGAATTTTTTAAAAACATCATGTAAAACCAGGAGAAGAACACAGTTGTGGGGGGCGGAGAACCTTTTCAAGAAACATCAACAAATACCTTTATGTGCTTAAGAATTTAATAAAAATATGAACTCAATAAAAAAGAACCCAAAAATAAGTCGATAAAAGGAAAGACATGGAGGAAGGAGCCAACGTATATACACTAAGGTCAGTTTTAACTGTTTTCCTCACCGAATAGTAAACAGGATACAGTATAATTTTATATTAACAGTCCACTGAGTACAGACACATTTTATCCACACTCAACAGATGTTGAGACTTTCAGATGAGTTATAGCAATAAATTTTTGGTGCATGTTTTGGAAGATGTTCTCAAAAACTGTAACATTTAATTAAACCAGTAAATATTTTCCTTAAAATTGATTATTTTATTGTTTGATGACCGCTGGTTTTTAATGTTCATCTTTATTAATTTTGTGCTGAATTCACACATGAGGCATTCTGGATCAGAGACAGATTTCTGATTAAATGCCTTACAGTAAATAATAAGTGTATCCATCCCTTTTTTGCCTCTAGCATTTACCTCTGAAGAGATATGACACGGCATTCTTCCTCCACAAATGACTGGACACCCACAGTTGAGTATGACAGTTTTACATGTTGACGTGGTCAGGCTATAATATTGTTCAATTAAACACTAATATAGGTGTTGCTGGGAGGGTATTTTGTAGATGTGAAGATATCTACAAGCAGTTGACTTTAGGTGAAGAAGATCATCTTCTATAATCTGGGTGAGCCCCATCTGATCAGTTGAAAGGTCTTAGGGGCAAAACTGAGGTTTCCCTAAGGAAGAAGAAATTCTGCCTGTGGACTTAGCATCAGCTCTGCTTGAGAGTTTCCAGCCTGCTGGTCTCCTCCAGAGATTTCAGATGTGGTGAGCCAGTACCCAAAATTGCTTAAGCCGATTTCTTGCAATCTCTCTTTCTATTAATGCATTATTTTATAAACAGTAGAAGATATAATTCATGATTTTGAAAATAATTTTATTTAACAAATTGTAGAACTCATACAGGGAATTTAGGATTGTGGTTTGCTTGCACTTTTCTGTACACACACACACAAACACACTTGTTCTATTTCTCTAGTAGAGCTCTAACAAATGCACATTTTGGTACTGACAGTGGAGTGGTGCTGTCACAAACACATAGCAATACCGAAATGGCCATGGAGTTGGACAATGGGTAGAGGTTGGAAGAAATTTTTTGAGGAGCATATAGCAAAAGTCCAGATTGCCTTGAAAAGGCAGTTGGTAGAAATTTGCTGTTAGAAGCACTTCTGGTGAGGACTTCAGAAGAAACGAGGGCCATATAATTGGAAACTGCCCCCATCTTTGCTTCCTGCATCCTGTTCCATGCACAGTTCTGAAGGTGGACCAGGTCACGTGACTCCTCTATGACTCCTCTGCTCCTCACCCTCCAGTGGCCCCTGTGTCACTAAGAGGAAAAGCCAAGCTCCCTTACCGCTTGCCAAGCCTCCAAGAACTGACCACAGAAGGCAGCAACCTTTCTTCCTTCACTTCCTTCTGCTCCTCCCTCACCCCTCAGCTCCAGCCTCACTGGTCCCTGGCTCTTTGTTGATCATGCTAGGGATGGCAGCAGTGGCCCATCTGGAGTGGCTGCTACCATGATGCCAGCTGCAGCAGGGGAGGCACAGCTGGGGCTGCACACTCCACCAGTCGATGGGAGCTGGGAACAGGTGAAAGCCCCTCCCCCATCCAAGTTGGTGGGGCTCCTGCTTGCCCTCCTGGGTGCAGCTGCAGTCACCCAGCCATAGCTGCAGACCTAGGCATCCCTGTGCTCTTGTGGGCCTGGGAAGCTCCCTTCCCCTCACAGGCTCAGAGGTGTCTGCTCCCTCTGCCTGGCCTCTTCCCACTCCTGGCACCTGCTCTGATTTTGGAGCAAAGTTGTGGCTGAGCCTGGGTGCTGTTGCCACTCTTCCAGGTATGCCTGAACTCCTGGTGGCACTGACACACCAGTCCCCTGCTGCCTTGGCCCCCTCCAGACCTTGGGTGCCCACCAGCACAGGAGGGAGGCCAAGTAGTGGCTGAGGGTAACTCAGCACGGGCCTGCAGGTGCCCCTCAGCACAAACAGCCTGGGAGCCATGGATGACATATAGATGGTGGCAAGGGACAGGTCCCTGGTGAAGGCCCACCTTCAAGCCAAGGATGGCCTGAAGCCTGAGGGCCAGGCTGTCAGTTCTAGGTGGAATCTGCAACCCAGAGTGAGAACTTACGGTGCTTTTCCCGGGCTCACCCATGGCTGCCCACTGATCAGTTAGCATGCACTCCCTCCCTTCTGAAGCCTATAAAAACCCCTGACTCAGTCAGACCCACAGAGAGAACAGGTCAACCTGCCTGCAGATAGGAGCTATCCACTCCGGGTCTCCTCTCTGCTGAGGGCTGCACACTTGTCAGGATGACCTGCCTGCAGAAAGGTGCTACCCACTTTAGGTCTCCTGAGACCTGTGCTATCACTCAATAAAGCACCTCTTTGCCTTGCTCACACTTCAGTTGTCTGTGTACCTCATTCTTTCTGGACATGGGACAAGAACTTGGGACCCACCAAATGGTGGGACTGAAAGAGCTATTACACAAACAGGGCTGAAACATGCCCCCCACTCACCATGTTATGGGCAACGAGAAGGAGAGAAGAGAGAAGGAGAGAAGAGAGAAGGAGAGAAGAGTTGTGGCCCTTCAGGGAACCCTGATCTAGGAGCTCCCTGAGCCAGGGCTGTGACACCTTCTTTGGGGCTCTGTGGTTCCTGGCATCTCCAAGCTTCCAGGCTCCATTGTGTTTCCGTTCCCAGTCCTCAGAGTGGAAACCGCTTGCAGTATGCCTGGTCTGGCCACAGCCTTGCAGGGAGCCAGCACCTGTGCTGGCACCTGGAGCTGCCTGCCCCGCAGCAGCTGGAGTGCCTGGCTGTGTGCAGTAGCCAGACCCTGCACTTGCTCATTCATGCACCCCTTGCTGCTCCACACCTGGCTCACCCTTGGCAGGCACGGGACCCAGACTGGTAGCAAGAGCCAAGCACAGCCTGCTAGGCCGAGTGGGCGGAACGAGCTCTGCAGCCCAAGCCAAACTTGCACAAAGGCACCACTAGCCACAGGCACTTCCGGCTGGGAAGGCGACACCCTAAGGATCATGTGACACCAAGGATGCTTCTTCCTTGAGGCTTGCCCTGGTGTTTCCTCCACCTGGAATGCCCCCGTCACAGAGGGCTGCAGAGTGAAGCCCTCCTCCTCCAGCCTCTGCTCTGTCATCAACTTCGCAGTGAGTCCTTGATCTTCTCATCCAGAAGGGAAACTCTTGCCTCACTACACTTCTGGCTCCCTGACCTGCTGCTCATTTCCACGTGAAAGTCACCTTCTAATTAAAACACTATATAAGCCTATTTGTTTACTATGGTCATAATTTGTAGTCTGTCTGTCTGTCTGTCTTCTCAACTGAAATTTTAGCTCCATGAGAGCAGGACTTGTGTCTAAACAGTGCCTTGTGGGCACACAAAAAATATTAGTAAGTAAATCTAAGAAGAAAATGGCTTAATTTTTCTCAAAAGTCAAGATTCATATCAGAAAGCAGAAAAGTTTATCTTTGCTGTTAGCTACTGATTATTTAAAGGGGACCAGTTTATACCACCTTTCAAAAGGCAATAGAGTGAGATGTAACAAAATGTAAAATGTGCTTACCTTTGATTCTGCAACTTCTAGGACTTTACTTGGAAGCAATAATTGCTTAAGTCTAGAAACATGTTTACATAGGAATGGTGATTGCAGTGCTGTTTTTAATAGCAAAAAAGTGGGAGTAAAATTATCCATTAAAATACTAGTTCTATAAGTTATAGTAGAGGGGCACAATGGAATATTAGAAAACAATTATAAATATGATGCTTGAAACGAAGGGAGGAACAATGGAAGTGGTGATAAGAGGTGAATAAGTGCTTATATATATGTACATATAAGCAAGATTTCTTTAGAGATTAGATGTAAGAAAAATTAGTCAGAAATGACAAAGGACTCCAAGTTTTTTTTGTTGTTGTGTGTTTGTTTTGTTTTGTTTTGTTTTGTTGTGGTGGTGGTTTGTTTGTTTTTTTTTTTTGAGATGAATTTTTACTCTGTTGCCCAGGCTGTGGTGCAGTGGTGCAACCTCTGCCTCCCAGGTTCAAGGGATCCTCCTGCCTCAACCTCCCAAGTAGCTGGGATTACAGGCACATGCCACCAGGCCTGGCTAGTTTTTGTGTTTTTGGTAGAGATGGGGTTTCGCCATGTTGGCCAGGCTGATCTCAAACTCGTGACCTCAAGTGATCCACCCACCTCAGCTTCCCAAAGTACTTGGATTACAGGCATGAGCCACCACACCTGGCCGACTCCAAGATTTGTGATGGGCAACTTTGACATCAGATGAGAAGAATATCACCAGAGGATATTTCCAGTTGGGAAGATCAGAATTTTAATTTGGACAGGTTAAACTTAAATATTATGGGACATCTCTCTTATGGATAAAATTTTGTATCCCAAAAGATATGTCAAAGTCCTAGTGTCTCATACCTGTTAATGAGAGCTTATTTGGAAATTTGACCTTGCAGAAATAAACAAGTTGAGATGAGGTTATTAGGATGGGCTTTAATCCAGTATGAGTGGTGCACTTATAAGTAGAGGTGAAGACACACAAGCAGAGGGAGAAAGGGGAGTGCCACGTAATGATGGAGGCAGAGACGGAGTGACAGAGGCAGAGATGGAGTGATGGAAGCAGAGACCGGAGTGACGGAGGCAGAGACGGGAGTGACAGAGGCAGAGATGGAGTGACAGAGGCATAGATGGAGTGACGGAGGCAGAGACAGGAGTGACGGAGGCAGAGATGGGAGTGACAGAGGCAGAGATGGGAGTGATAGAGGCAGAGACAGAGTGACAGAGGCAGAGACGGGAGTAATGAAGGCAGAGACAGGATTGATGTGCCTGTAACCAGGGATTTCCAGCAATACGGAAGCCACAATGCGAATGGACCACAACCCTGCCAACACCTTGATTTCAGACCTCTTCTCTGCAGAACGACGAGAGAATAGACTTCTGTTGTTTTCAGCCACCAACTTTGTGGTAATTGGTTACGATAGCCCTAGTAACCTAGTACAGTGAAGAACAAGAATACAGGACTATTTCTGCTTGTGAGAGGAAAGCAAGTAACTGGCCCATCCTTTCTGAGAGGTCTCCTGTTCACTGCTGTGCTTCGGTGTGTAAAAAAAAAAAAAAATCTCCCCACGAAGCAGCAGACATGTGTGTCTTGGGTTGTATGATCCAGAGATGTCTCCAATGTCCTACACTTTATTTATCTCTGGTGACCTTCAGGCAGTGTTGGCCACTTGAAGACACTAGAGAAGTCTGATTACCTTTTTGAATCAGAGCAATTAACTAGAAAATGACTTCAGATTAGGTTTTCGTGAGATGTAAAGAGTGTCAGGGGGCTAGCACTTTTTCAAGAACACTGGGAACTATAGGCAAGATTGAATTCTCCACAATTACAAATGACTAATATTGGAAATAAAAACGAGACTAAGTAAGTTTTGTATGATTGAAATTATGCAAAGCATATTTTCTGATCACAATTGAGTTGAACCAGAAATCAATAACAAAAAGATATGTGAAAAAATCCCTAAGTGTTTGCAAATTAAATAATACATGTCAGGATACATTATGGTCCAAAGAAGAAATCATAAAGTAAACTATCAAATACTTTAAATAAATTGAATAAAAGTCAGTGTTCCAAATATGTGGATGCAGTGAGAATGGTGCTCTGAGGAAAATCTGTGGTATTCAGTGCTTACATTTTAAAAGAAGTAACATCTCAAGTCAATTATGTAAGTTTCCACGTTAAAAAAGTCAAAAAAGAGCAAACTAATCCTTTCGTAGGGAAATAAAGATAAGAACAGAAATAAATAAATCGACACTGCCAAGGTAAAAGTCAGTGAACTTTAAGTTAGGTCAATACAAAATATCCAGGGGACAACAGCAAATAACCTGAAATATTGGTAATTGGCATCCTAGAAGAAAAAGAGAGAGAACAGGGCAAGATAAATATTTGAAGAAAAAACGGCCAAGAATTTTCTAGAATTGACACAGACACTGAGCCATAGATCCAGAAGTTTAGATAACACCAAGCAGAATAAATTCCCCCAAGAGGTCACAGCAAAACAAAATGAAACACATATGTCCCCTGGCATGCACACGCACATACACACAGACGAATATTATCTAAGTATATTATACTCAAATTGTTTAAAGTAAAATCAAACAAGGAAATCTTGAAAGCAACCAGAGTATAAGGAAACATCACACACTGAGAAACAAAGCTAAAAGCAGCTCACTCCTCATCAGGAACTGTGCTAGATAGAAGACAATGAGTGGACACTTTTAGAGTGCAGAAAGGAGACAAAATAAAAATAAAATAAAAATCCTATTTCCAGTGAAATTATCTTTCAAAAATAAATAATTCTCCCAAAAAAGTAAAATTCAAGAAATTCATTGCTAGCAGACAATCTCAACAAAAGACATCAAAGAAAGTTCTTAAAGTCGAGGAACTATGATTTCAGACTAAAAATTAGGGCAAAAAAAAAGAACAGTACTGGGAATGGAGTAAACAAAGGGTGCACACAAATTTCTTTTTACTTATCATTAATTACTATACAAGATGATTACTATGTAAAGCAAAAATCACAGTACAGGTTGAGCATCCCTAATTAGAAAACTTAAAAGCCAAATGCTCCAAAATGTGAAGCTTTTTGAGTACCAACATGACTCTCAAATAAAGTGCTCATTGGAGTATTTTGGATTTCAGATATTCAGATGAAGGATGCTAACCTGGTAAACATAATGCAAATATTCCAAAATTTGAAAAAATCCCAAATCCAAAATTATTATGGCCACATGCATTTCAAAGTAAGAACACTCCACTTGTAATACAGTATGTTTACAGCTAACGTAAGGGTAAAATGTGACAGTAACAGCACAAATATGGTGGGAAAGCACGGGAAATATACTGCTGTAAAGTTGGAAAGTGGTTTAATATTACTTGAAAGTAGACTCTAATTAATTATTGCCTACTTTTTAAAAATTATACTTTAAGTTCTAGGGTACATGTGCACAACGTGCAGGTTTGTTACATATGTATACATGTGCCATGTTGGTGTGCTGCACCCATTAACTCGTCATTTACATTAGGTATATCTCCTAAATGAAAATAAGTCAAGATAGAAGATGGAAAAAAATCCTAAAAACTGTTTAACCCAAAGAATGAACACAAATTAAAAATAAGGAAACAAAGAATGATCAAACAATTAGAAAGCAACTGGCAAGAGGGTGTTAGCTTTTACTCTCATCAATCATGTTAAATGTGAATTATCTACTTTGCTCCAGAAAAAAATGGCATAGACTTGTCCCTTTCTACATGTCTGAGCTAAAAATCATATATACTCTGGAAACAATGCAAGAGACAACCAAAGGAGAACACTTAAAGGTGAAATGCAACAGGCAGTTTGGTTAGGGACCCAGGGACTGGAGGAGCAATGTAGGATCAGGGCGTCTTAGAACCTTCCCATCCAAAAGAAGACGCGACCCAAGCCCAGTATTTCCCAACCTCAGCTTAGCAATAGAAGGCCACTCAGAGAGGAACCTTCTTCTTCCAAATCAAATAGAAGTCTTTAAGAGAATGAAACAACAAACTACAGATTGGTAGAAAACAATATATCCCTCAAAGGATCTGTATGTAGAATCTATAAAGAAGTCTCAAAACTCAACAGTCCAAAACCCCCACAAATAATCTAGTTAGAAAATGGGCAAAACATGTGAAGAGACATTTATTGAAGAGGGTACACAGATGGCAAATAAGCACATAAAAAGACATTTATCATTAGCCATTAGAGAAATGCAAATTAAAATTGCAGTGGATATCACTGCACACCTATCAAAATGGATACAATAATAGTGACATTAACAAATGTTGGCAAGGATGCAGAAAAACGGCATAGCGGGTGGGTATGTAAAGCGATACAGTCACTGTAAAAAATAGTTCAGCAGTTTCTCATAAAACAGGACATTAACACACAACTCAGAAATTGCACTCTGCTGCATTTCTTACAGAAAAATAAAAACTTATGTTCACACAAAAACCCATACATGAAAGTTCATTTCTTACAGAAAAATAAAAACTTATGTTCACAAAAAAACCCATACATAAATGTTCATTGCAGCTTTAGTACTAGCTCAAAACTGGCAACAATCCAGATGTCCCTCAATGGGTGAATGGGTAGACCTTGGGTATGTGCATACTATGGAGAGCCATGCAGAAGTGAGATGGACCAGGCTACTGACACACATGGCAACTTAGATGAATCCTAAAGGATTTATGCTCAGTGAGAAAATAAGCCAATCTCCAAAGGTTACATACTATACGATTTCATTTATGTGATTTTCTTGAAATGATAATACTCCAGAGGTAGAGAACTGATTAGTGGTTGCCAGGAGTTGGGGATAAAGTGGGAAGAAAATAGAAATATGGATATGGTTATAAAAGTGCAACATGAGGGATCCTTGCAGATATGGAAAAGGTCAGTGTCTTGACTGTGGTGATGGTACATACAGAAACTACACCTAGTAAAAGGGTATGGAAGCAAACATTCAGAGAGAGACAACTACAATTAAAACTAGAGGAATCTTAATAAGATTAGTGGATTGTATCACTGTCAATATTAATACTCTGTTTCTGAAGTTACACTGTCATTTTATGTGATGTTTCTATTGGGGAAAACTGGGTAAAGAGTACAAGGACCTCTCTCTATTGTTATTTAATATTATTATATTTAATAATATTAAATATTACATATTAATATTATTAATATTTCTTACATAAATGCATGTGATTCTACAATGGTCTTAAAACAATAAATTTGAAAAATGTAAGTGGTCCAGTCACACCAGCTTTAAAAGACAAAGATTATCAATTTGCCTAGAAGCAAAATAAGACCCAACTATATTGTGTACATTTAAGCCACTTCAAGTACAAAGACATTGGTCAGATTTTGCAGTAATATTTTTATTGCCTGTAAGTCGCAGAAATCCTGAGGCTTAGATTAGAGTTGATTTCCTTTGGAAATTTGCATTTGCTTCTTCTGGAAATCAATCAACACTAATAATCGAGGTTCACATTAAACCCCCTTTGGGGGTCCTGATTAAGGAAATGGGGGTTCCAGGTTTATCTCACCCACCACTACCCCTACCATTTTGCTGTGGACTTAGCAAATCGTTTCCTAGCAATTGATACAGTTACAGGCATCTGTCTTTACAGTAATCCTTGATTTTATATTTATCCAGTTCTCACTTTTCACTGGTTTGTTTGAGGTTTGTGTTTGTTTGCTTTTGGAGATTTCCCTTACTTTCCATTGAGCTCAACAAAGGATTAAAAAACAAGTTTGTGGTCATTTACCCTGGGATATGGTTATATTATAACAGAAAGAGACTTCAGATTATCCAGTCAACTATGATTTCATAAGTGGAAGGACACATATCCGCATACAAAGAACTAAAGCACCTGCTTGAAATTTGCTTACTAATTCTACCTGACTTTTCCAAAAGAAATAAATTACATTATTTTTTAATTCCAATAAATGTGTTATGATAGTTTATATGTATATGTTAGTTTAGGTCGATATTGGAAATACGATGGAAACCCCAAAATTTTATGACCTAAAATAATTTTTCATCACTAACATCGTCACCACAACCAATATCATCATTGTTATTTTCAAACGTTTATGGAAATCCTTTGAGATAAGTTTATCAGAAGTAGATTACATGACTTTCAGATTTAAAAATGTTATAATCTCCACAGTGAGTCAATACATACAAATAACGAGGTGAAGAGGTGGAGGTGGTGAAGGGAGCTCTGAATGGAGAGTCAAGAGACTTGGCTATGGTTTCAAATGTATTGGTAACGAGCCAGGGGATATAATAATGTCATTCCATCCTTTGTACCCTTGTTCCCTCTTGTATGAAATAAAGATGTTGACATAAATCATGTTAGGAGGCCTTAGAGCTGTGGCTTGTATTTGCATTTAGTAGCACCTTATGTTCATAGGGTACTTTACAGTCTACAATGTGCTTTGATTCATTTGTCAAATATATAAGTATCTACCATGTTATCAAGTAGTTACTATTTGTTATTTTCCTCCCTTGGAGAAAACTACAAATGTACATAAGGCAAGTCTTTGTCTTTGAGACACTTGACTACCAAATAGGGAAAGCACATATGGAATAAACTGCAACGAAACCTGACCACGTCATGATGGAGTGGAGTCCAACATGGGAGGCGTAGAGAGGAAGGTGAACCTGGAGGAGTCATGGAAACATGTTTTGGGGAGATGACCTTTCAGCTGAAGGTCAACCGATTCACATGTTATCTCATTCAGTATAATTCTATGCTCCAATTAAAAAGAAAACAAACAAAAAAAAAGAAGTTGGAGCTCAGAAAAATTAAAGAAGATGGTCATAGGCGTGCAGACCCTACACTGGAGGCTGGAACACCAATGGCCTTGTATCTTGAATTCAGGACCTTTGTCTGGTTTTCCTACTTTATTACAACTGCGAATGTTCTGCGGTTCTGTGGTTTCGTGAGTAATTCTGTAAGTCACTTACACAAGCTGAGAACCAATCCATAGTGTGACAATAAGGCAATGAGGCTATGAAGGCCAAGAAAGGCTCAGGGAAGAAAAACGAGTGTCCTTAAGGACTTGCCTCGCAGGAGAGGTAAGGCAAGAGGAGAGGCAGGTTGGGAAACCCTGTACAGAGGCAGAAAGGGGAGCCGAGCATGCCAACACAGCAGGTGCCAGGTGAAGGATCAGGCACTTCCCAAGTCTTGGTACTGAATAGAAAGAGCCTCCTGGAATCCGGGAAAGCCGTTCATTTGGAAAATAGCTTAATAAAAATATTCTGTCCAGAATCTCTAAAGTGAAACACCGGGTTCAATAGCCAGTTCCAAATTGCCGTTCAGCCTTGGGAACTGTGCAGGGTCGGTGCTTTGACAATCGATGTGGATTTTCTACCGCAATAGGCAGAAACTTTTTAAAGTGGAGGCGTTTTCCCTCTTCGTTCCACCTCCATCATCCCCCTGACATATTTTCATGTGAGTTTTCCAAGCAGGTTTCAGATGACAGAAATCACAGTTTTATTTTTTAAATTGCGTTCAGCCCTCCTGAGTACAGCGATGTGATAAAGCTGAAATAGAATAGGCCCCACTGATGGGTTTTTGTCACTAATGCAGCGGGAAATGGCTGGAAAGAATGAGCGCCGTTGGAGACAGAGGCACTCAAGTTTTTGAGGCAATAAAGTGTAGCAAAAACCGGAAATGGACATTCGTAATAAAACCGGAGGGAATCCCAGCCATTTGGTCTTTTTCTTCTATTAGGAAATAACTTTAGTTCTCGGTTGTTTTTTGAAGATAGGTGTTTTTCCACCTCCTTCAATTTGATGTGCTTCTGGCTGCCTCAGTGCTTTACCACGTGAAGGATATGGATATTTCAAGAAATGACCCACATCGGTATTGTATTTATTACCTCGTAGTGTGGCTATTGAAGTTCTGAGGTTTGCACTCCAAGAGCTCACTGGGAAGATTTCTGCCTGTCCTAGAAATACGAGTGGACCAAAAGCTAGCTACAGGAACCTGGCAACACGAGGCTCCAAGAAGCAGGAGGCAACAGATGTCTTTTTATGTCACGAAATTCCCTCTTTTTCTGTCCTCTCTCTGAAGCTGTGTTCAGCATGCTCATATACAGTGATGCGTTAGTTTAAAACTTTGTTTAGCCTGGTGGTGTCGTTATTTTGAAGGCCATCGTGCTGTTTGGCTTGTATCAGCTGGAGGCAATGATGCTGTCTCCTGAGAAGTTGAGAACTTTCAGCCTATTACTTTGATTAGCTGCTGGAGGCCTGCGTTGGCTACTGTAATTGCCCCCGCACCTCTAAAATGAATGTATATTTCCTGTGACGAGGAAAGAGTGAGAATATGTGCTTATGGAAACTTCAGATTCCTACAGTCCCATGGAGATCAAATTTTAAAAGTACAGTGAGGACCTGTGGCAATCGCGGTTTAATAACTAAACATCAATTTAGAAAATACTGTAGAATAGGCAGATTTTAAGCTAGGTTGATAGAAATGGTGGGCACAGATAACTCTTCAAGTTGGTGAAAAGGTGAAGTTTAAAAATGATGGTAATTTCAAGGCAATTCTTCTGCTCTAAATAGTGAGACTGAATGGTAGCTCACTTTCACCGCATTCCTCAGTAATCATCGTCCTCATCGGTGTTTTGTTCTTTAGTTCTATGCTGTGCTGAAGGAGAGGAAGAAGCCATAGAAGCCGCAATAAAGTGCCATTTTCAGCACTGTCACCCGAATAGCAGCATGGGCCCCTGTGAAGTGCAGTCCTGAGAAAGTTCGGTTGAGCTGTTTCATCGCTTGTTTATTTCCATTACCTTCCCAGAGCAGTGTTTAACCTTGGCCTCCTTTTTCCTTCTGCTTTAAAGAAGTGTTTCTGTCTCCCCAAGAAGAGCTAGGACTGAAAGGTTCTAGTAGAGAGACAGTTTAAAGATCTCCTGGCTTCAAACACCAGCTGTATGTGCGCTGAATTATGAATTCCAGAATTAACGAACTCCAGAACTGGCTGGTTGACTAAGTAGCCTCTGGACTCTTTGAGCACTCCCTGGAGTCCAAAAGCTTCCAGAAATAGGTGGTTGTGTCAGTATCTGGGGCAGGTGCATGCCATTCTTCTCCCATTTTGGCAGTCTTGTTTATTTCATATCAGCCAGACACCTGATATTGACCCGAAGTTGTCCTTGCAATTTGGAAGTCAGAAAAGCTATTTACCTTACAAAGAAGTAAGAAGTTACTGATTTAAACTGTCACAGCCACAAACAAATTATTTTTGAAGCTATACAACACATCATGGTTATTCAGATCCTCATTCTAAATGGTGATCAGATTTTTTCCTTAGGTATCATAAAAACAAACAAACAACCTCTGTGTTTGAAGTTT